>NC_000006.12:8241818-8393333 GCF_000001405.40 Homo sapiens
AGAGCAGAAATGAAATCCACTTCATCTGCCTCGCAGGAGATCTGTAATGGTCCCGAAAGTGTAAATAAACCACCAGGTTGAAAATGGAAACAGCCATTGTATTCTTGAGTATTAAAAATTGGTTTATTTTTCTTCCAACATGAGAGGCTTCATTTTTCTAGAATTGCTACCTGGCTATGAAAGGTCCTTCCCTCTGTCCCATGGAAGGGGACATGAACATTCTAAAATTATTTTCCATAATCTCCCCCACCAAAAATGCTACCAATAGTTTGCCTTTTAATGGAAAATTTGATGTATTAGAAAACAGTTGAACTTGAGAGCTAAGAGCTGTTAGCTTGAGTGAAATCTGGTTTGATAATATCTCACCCTGTGTTTGAGGCTGATTGATCTAGATGCACCTCCTTGCCCCCTGTGCTTTTACAAAGACCCCTTTCATGGGTGTGCAGTAATGTGTTTCTTTTTCCAATCTACATGGTTCCTTGTGACTGAGCCTGTTGTAAGAAGGGTTATGCAGTCTGAGTGCCCGACTAATGATACTGCCTTCTGTAAAAAAAAAAAAAAAAAGAAAAAAAGAAACACAAACTCCATAACAATGATTTCCTTATTGAAAAAAAATGCATAACCAAAATCCAGTCAATAGTGTCATCATAACCGTACACGCCATTTCCATATACACAGTATTTTCTTAAGCAAGAAGGATTGTGGTTGACATTTTCGATTTTATAGTAAAGCATCAGACAAATGTAAAATAATGACATCTTTTTGACAAGCGTAGGTATTTTGATAGCATTTAGTACGGTACTTCCATTCCCAAAGAATCTGTAAATGAGAGCAATTTGTGTTTCTCCATGGTTTGATTGATTCCAGTGATTCTTGAATTGCCACTACAGGATAGTACAGGGTGGGCCATGCTGGGTTACTTGAGGCGTAATTAGCTAATCCTAGCATCCAAGAAAAACCCCTTAGCCACTTCAACTTCTTCTCTGCTTTCTCCTCCTCGCAGTGCAGTGCTGGGGAATGTTTGACACCGTCCTCCTCTCTCATATATGTGAACATTGATAGCCTCTGCGAACTGGCCCCACAGTTGTCAATTTTTTGACTGTGGGCTGAGACCCATTAGCTCAAATGCTTACTAGTGCCCAATCCAAATTTGTACACATCAGTTATTTTTAAAATAGCTCAAACAAGCAAATTTTGAAGCCATTTAGAAACTGCCTGATTTGCATACCTGCATAACCTCACCCAACAGCTGTCATCTATTGATAATACACGGCCTTCCCATGATAAAATCCCAAGCTGCTATTCTTCCCAATGAGCCCTCTGAGCTCCCTGACCCAGAGACTGCTCTCTGTGCTGCTGTGCCACATCACTAGACATCTGAGCCCCTCTTCTCCCCTCTTCTCCTGGAGAGTTGCCTATGCTCCCCCATTCTGAGCAGCGGCCTCTGCTTTTTAGCCTCTGAACAGACTTCTTCTATGAGGGACTTTCTCCCCCATGCAACCCTGTCCAAGCACCAAGCTTGTTATGTGTTGCTGTTTCTTAATCACTCCCAAATCCCTCAAACCCCTGACATCCTTCTCCCTCCTCCTCTTTCCCATTTCTTCACAATAAGCAAAACAACCTTGAGGGCTATACGCTTACAGGAGGAGGAGGAGAAAATAGAAGAGGAATATGGAAATTGGGAAAAGACTGCCAGTATATATACAGACTTGACTATTGTGAGACAAAGTAACCAATATAAGAAGCCACGCTTGCTCATTTCTGCTTGAACCCCCAACTCTGATGAAATGCAGCTCTCTGGAAGAATGCCTTGAAGACAAAACAGAATAGAGCACACAGCCTCCCCACGTCTCTTGCCTGAGTCATTACATTCCTTAAAAGATAAATGACCTCGCCTTGCCTTTTCCTACACATAAGATAACATCTGACAGGGTTAGTGATTATGCATCCACAATCTATAACCAAATGTACTTTAGTAATCTATAACCAGATGTACTCTTACACCCAAACTTTCATGAGATTTGCACTTACTGAATCTTCACCACCTGTATATAAACTGTGAGTTGTAGTACTGTGTTGGAGCAGTCTGACAGAACTGCCCCCAAGCTGTAGGCCTCCATCTATAGTTTTCAGTGAGGCTTCTAAATAAAACTTACTGTCATTTTTTCAATGGTCCTGGGTCCTCTGCTGAGCAACTGACATAGGGAAGGCACATCTGAGTAAGACAAGGGAGAGCACAGGTACACTTGAAAAAGAAAAGGAAACAGATGTAGTGACTGCTCTTCCTGACCCATGTTCACATAGCTATCTATGAATTGGTTTCTTCCTCTGTTCCCCGTCTGCTAACATTCATTCACTTATTCTTTTTTTTTTTTTTTTTTTTTTTTGACGCAGGGTCTTCCTCTGTCTCCCAGGCTGAAGTACAGCAGTGTGATCATAGCTCACTTCAGCCTCCACCTCCTGGGCTCAAGTGATCCTTCTGCCTCAGCCTCCCAAGTAGCTAGCATTACAGGCATGTGCCACCATGCCTGGCTAATGTTTCTTAAAAAATTTCTGTACATAGAGGGTCTCGCCATGTTGCACAGGCTGGTCTCGAACTCCTGGTCTCAAGCGATCCTCTTGCCTTGACCTCCCAAAGCAGTGGGATTACAGGCATGAGCCACCACACTCACCCCCACGTTTTTTTTCTTGGAGACAGGGACTCACTTTGTCATCCAGGCTGGAGTGCAGTGGTGTGATCACGGCTCCCTAGATCCTTGATCTCCTGGGCTCAAGCAATTCTCCTGCCTCAGCCTCCCGAGTAGCTGGGACTACAGGCATGCACTACCACGCATGGCTGGTTTTTTAAAAAATTTTTGTAGAGATAGAGTCTTGCTATGTTGCCCAGGCTGGTCTTGAACGTCTGGCCTCAAGCAAACTTCCTGCCTTGGCCTCCCAAAGTGTTAGGATTACTGGTGTGAGCCACTGCATCCAGCCCACTTATTCTTTCGTTCCACAGATTCTGGTGGACTCCCTCCTATGTGACTTGCCCTGAGCACTGGGGTACAGTGAAGAATGAAGTATAAATTAGATTATGGTGTAGGGGAAATTCCAACCAAATAGGAAAGGAAGCTATGAAAAGAGCCCACCTTCCTAAGCCCCAGTGGACTGTGGGGAGGGCGAGAAGAGTTTAGACAGCTGGGTGGTTAGGTGCCAGGAGCCTTTTTTCACTCCTCTCAGGCCTGAGATCTGAGCCATCAAGTTCTCTTGGGAGAAGTTTTAGACAGTCGGGCATGGTGTGGGGGAGGCTGCAGGTCCCTATGAACACTTATATCACAGTGATCCCAAAGTGAATTCCCCATAATCCCAGGAAGTGCCCAGCGTAGGACTCCACAGACACATTTGTTTGGCGAACACTCCATACTGCACAGTCCTGTAAGACAATGCTTGATGTGCATGCAGATCACCTGGGGATGATGCTAGCTCAGTAGGTCCATGTGGGGCCTGAGCATCCGCATTCCTAACCAGCGCTCCAGTGACGCGATGCTGCTGGTCCATAAGCCCTATTTTGAGCAACGAGGCTTCTGAGATTCTTTCTGCCTCTTGGTGTATTGAAGGCACTAAGACATCTTTTCATGAACCCAACTGTATTTGTCTAACATGGTCATTTACAAAGTGACTACAGCACAACTATGGGAGCTTTTGGGAGCATTTCAGGAAACTTTGCACTATTAGCCTCATGGTATTTCGCTGCATTATCAAGCAAGAATTCTGTTTATTGTGTGTGAGTGTGTGTGCATTGGAGTGTGGACGTGTGCCACAGAACTCTAGGTGGCAGAGTGTATTTTGCAAAAATAATTGACCACACTGTTTCCCATGTTATCTAAGAACCTCATTGACTCCTCCTCAAGAGGTGGCATGTATATTTCTTCCCCTTGAACCTGGGCTTGTGTGACAGTCTCGGCTAGTAGAGAGCGGCCAAAGTGTGATTTGTGATGTTAGGTCATAAAAGGTGATTCTGCTTCCACCTGCTCCCTCTCAGGACAATTGCTCTGAGCTTTCAGTCACCATGTGAGAAGTCTGGCTACCCTGAGGCCAGCACATGCAGAGACCACATGGAGAGATGAGAGGCAGAGAGAGCCGCCCAAGGAACTCCAGCTGTTCCAGCACCCAGCTGTTTGAATCCTCCCAGCCCAGGCACTAAACGTGAATGAAAAGCTCTCAAGACAACCTCAGCCCTCGGACCCAGCCACAGACTGATTGCCACTGTATGAGAGACCTCAGATGAAAACTGTCAAGTGGAGCCCGGCTAGCTAACAGATTTATAAGCAAAATAAGTGATTGTTATTGTTTCAAGCCACCATTTTGAAGTGGCTTTTCTGCAGCAATAGATGCCTGGAGGAGTCCTAATAATAAAAATTAATCAGATGGAGGATCTGCTTTTTTATTTTCTCTTAGGACTAAGGAAAGGCTTGGTATAATCTTTGAACTGAGATAAAGAATAAGTTACTCTTAAAATTTTCCAACAAATGGAGTCCTTATTGTCTGTAGTTAGTACCCAAAGCTTAGACACTTTCTCTCTACATACCCTTCCAAGGATAAGGCTGTATTTTGTAATGCCAGATGACACAATCTGATAAACAAGCAGACACCCATTAAAATGAATGAATGTCAAAATTTTTTCATGCTTATTTGTTATTAACGACTGAGAATGTGAAGGTGCAATTCAAATAGTTTATTATTGTTATAGGTTTGTGGCAATATATTACAGTTTACGCCTTGGCTTAGAAGTTGATTACAAGTTTTATGAGACTGAGTGCCTGTTATTGGCAATCTTGATGTTTTCTTTTTCCCTGTAACATGTCACAGACAATTGATTTATATGTAGTCAATGATTTTTTATACTATATCATTTCAATAAAAAAATTAAAGAAGAAAGTGTGTAGTAGGGAGTGGAAAGAAGACAATGAAGGCTGCATCAGTCATGGTGGGATTTGAAAATGTATTAATAATCTGCATATACTCTATGAAATCCATCTGAGAACGTTTTATGTTCTTTGCAAGAGACAAAACAAGTCATCAGAGACTTCTTATAAACACAGGTGGTGCTTATTAACTGAGAAATAAACATTTTACACTCCTGATGATTAGCTAGACAAGTTTTCATGTGCTCCTGCACTTTTGGGAAATGGTTTTTATTTTCTTTTCTATTTTTTTCTCTCAATTCTGATTACCTTCCTTCTATATGAACAGCTTGAGTTAGTGGTGCAGTGATACCTAAAATATCTCTGACAGATTTTGGGTACGGGGAAGATATTAGCAATCTATTTTACAATGATCATCATAATAAAATATGACACTCTGCAAATTTGAACAGATATGGCCATGCAGCCTTAATGCAAATAAACAAAGACTTCATATGTGAATAGGGAATTATGTTTGTATCTACAAATAATTGGCTAAATAGGGAACATCTAGTTTACCTGTTCTGTTTTATCTGTCATTACCACATATTGCTTCAGTGATTGTTCTTAAAATTGCCTGAGTCGACTGGTTATTTTGTGACTGTTTCAATTCATATGAAGGACAACAACAACAACACAAAACAAAAGAAAAATTAAGAGAATTTTGTGAATGAATAGGAACAAAATACACAAATGAAAAAGTCTTAATCATTCATCCAAATGAAGCTGAGTTTGGAGGTTGGTTTGATCACATATATACTCTTTGAGGAAGAAGGAGACTGTAGAGAAAGTTTTTGAAGGGATCTTAAAACACTTAAAAATTATAGTGTAAAGAGATCTGAATTTAAACCTCTGGAGTGTAGAGATGTGAGAAGTATAGATGGACATTTGGAGCATCTAGAGGCAAAGACACTGCATGACATTAGAAAACCTGGGTCAGAGTCTGAACAGAAAAACATGAATTTAATGCAT
Organism: Homo sapiens; assembly: GCF_000001405.40. NCBI lineage: Eukaryota > Metazoa > Chordata > Mammalia > Primates > Hominidae > Homo > Homo sapiens. The sequence goes on from NC_000006.12 coordinate 8,247,734, forward strand.
GTTGTAGAGATGGTTTATAGGACAATCTTCAGGTGCAGGAGTCCTTTTACTATGAATAAGATTTACATCTCACAAGCCTTTTTTTTTTCCTTATAAAAGTTTTTAATCTTTTTTAAAATTATACTTTAAGTTCTAGGGTACATGTGCACAACGTGCAGGTTAGTTACATATGTATACATGTGCCATGTTGGTGTGCTGCACCCAGTAACTCATCATTTAACATTAGGTATATCTCCAAATGCTATCCCTCCCCGCTCCCACCACCCCACAATAGGCCCCGGTGTGTGATGTTCCCCTTCCTGTGTCCATGTGTTCTCATTGTTCAATTCCCACCTATGAGTGAGAACATGCCGTGTTTGTTTTTTTTTGTCCTTGTGATAGTTTGCTGAGAATGACGGTTTCCAGCTTCATCCATGTCCCTACAAAGGACATGAACTCATCATTTCTTATGGCTGCATAGTATTCCATGGTGTATATGTGCCACATTTTCTCAATCCAGTCGATCATTGTTGGGCATTTGGGTTGGTTCCAAGTCTTTGGTATTGTGAATAGTGCCGCAATAAACATACGTGTGCATGTGTCTTTATAGCAGCATGATTTGTAATCCTTTGGGTATATACCCAGTAATGGGATCGCTGGATCAAATGGTATTTCTAGTTCTAGATCCCTGAGGAATCGCCACACTGACTTCCACAATGGTTGAACTAGTTTACAGTCCCACCAACAGTGTAAAAGTGTTCCTATTTCTCCACATCCTCTCCAGCACCTGTTGTTTCCTGACTTTTTAATGATCACCATTCTAACTGGTGTGAGATGGTATCTCATTGTGGTTTTGATTTGCATTTCTCTGATGGCCAGTGATGATGAGCATTTTTTCACGTGTCTTTTGGCTTCATAAATGTCTTCTTTTGAGAAGTGTCTGTTCATATCCTTTGCCCACTTTCTGATGGGGTTGTTTGTTTTTTTCTTGTAAATTTGTTGGAGTTCTTTGTAGATTCTGGATATTAGCCCTTTGTCAGATGAGTAGATTGCAAAAATTTTCTCTCATTTTGTAGGTTGCCTGTTCACTCTGATGGTAGTTTCTTTTGCTGTGAAGAAGCTCTTTAGTTTAATTAGATCTAATTTGTCAATTTTGGCTTTTGTTGCCATTGCTTTTGGTGTTTTAGACATGAAGTCCTTGCCCATGCCTATGTCCTGAATGGTATTGCCTAGGTTTTCTTCTAGGGTTTTTATGGTTTTAGATCTAACATTTAAGTCTTTAATCCATCTTGAATTAATTTTTGTATAAGGTGTAAGGAAGGGATCCAGTTTCAGCTTTCTACATATGGCTAGCCAGTTTTCCCAGCACCATTTATTAAATAGGGAATCCTTTCCCCATTTCTTGTTTTTGTCATGTTTGTCAAAGATCAGATAGTTGTAGATATGCGGCATTATTTCTGAGGGCTTTGTTCTGTTCCATTGACCTATATCTCTGTTTTGGTACCAGTACCATGCTGTTTTGGTTACTGTAGCCTTGTAGTATAGTTTGAAGTCAGGTAGCATGATGCCTCCAGCTTTGTTCTTTTTGCTTAGGATTGACTTGGCAATGCAGGCTCTTTTTTGGTTCCATATGAACTTTAAAGTTGTTTTTTCCAATTCTAATCTCACAAGCCTTTGTATCAATTCAATTTCCTATTCAAAGTGCTGTAGAAATATTGTATATGAGCACAGACTGGTGTGTATGAAGGTGAGCAAGCACAAAATATTACTTTAGTTAAATACATAAACATCTATCTATCTATCTATCTGTCATCTATCTATCATCTCTCTCTCTCTCTCTCTCTAATTCAACATTATGGCATAGAAGAGGATAATCTAAAACCATCCAGTATTAATTGAGATGAGATAATAGCTAAAGAAAAATGAATTGTATAAAAAAGTAGATGTGTGCATCCAAGCAGGGGACCCAGAGTGCAAATGATTGAGAGACAGAAGCCTGGATAATTGGTCCTGGCTATTAGAAGCCATTTGTCAGGGTGGGGTGCCTCCTAGTCAGATGAGAACAAAGAAACTTCCACCTGCTGCAAATAATTCAGTAACTGACAGCAAAGAACAGGTTTCTGGAAAGTAATCACTTTCCACACTATATAATGGAATGGACTCTTCCAGATGAGGGGTTTAAAACTCAGCACAAGTAACTCCAAGTTGAATAAGGTCTCAGAGAACTTTCACCTCTGAAATACTTAAGGATCACTTCTCTTATCAGTTTATCTGCCCATTTGCTCAGGGAACTAGATAGACCTTCTATCATCCATGGATAAGCCTCCTTGGCTGACATTAAATGAACCAAGAGCTGTGAGAGGATAGAGGGAGGAAAATAAATGTCTGCTAAAGAAGCTTTGAGCCTTTTAGTTTCTAGTTTATTATCAATCATATTTAGAATTAAATATCTACTAGGAGAAATGTTAAACATAATTTGGAGTTTGAGATATAGAGCCAAGACCGTGCAGAATATTCAATTAAGACTGTTTTGTCTCTTAGCAAAGGAATTTCTGGCTGAAGTAGTGGCTCAAGAAAAATGTACAGAGGCGTAATGATGGATGAGATTCTTTCATTCACCTGAGTATTTATTGAGCACATACTACATGTTCAGCATCTGTGAGTCTTGCTTTGGGAATGAAAACAAATGCAAGTATTATTTTGAAGAGAGAAGTAGAAGTTGATAATATTTGCTGTGTATTTCAGTAGAGGCAGTGGAGAGGTGTCAGTATAAAGTGCCTCAAATTTAACACCTAGGATTTTGTTTTCTGGAGAATAAAGGATGGGATACCTGTCTATTTAAGGTGAGGGTGAATTGAGACTGAAGAATTAAAAAAAGGTAAAATAAAAAATGTAGTGAGGAAAAAAAAGGCAAGTATATCGATTATACAGATAGGTAGTGAGGAAAAAAAAGAAAAAAAAGGCAAGTATATCTGTTAGACAGATAGGTGGTTTTCACTCAGTTTCTTCTGTAAACTTCTAATAGTCCCTAGTTGTTGGCACAATGTCTGTAAGTAAAAGGGCAGTTTCAAACAAGTAACAATGAAATTATTTTATTCATATACATTACTCAAATTTGAAAGTTTTTGATAATCACAGAAATTCCATTATATAAGTTGCATGACATCCCCAATTTTAGAAAATCACAAAAAATATGGTCAAAAGTGATTAATTGGTAATGATATATTAGCTCCTATAAACTCAGCACTTTCACAAATAATAAAAAATATCCTTGAGACAAAATATTAAAAAACAACTACTTTAAGGCACCAGGGAGCAAATAAAAGCAGGCAGATACTAGAGAAGCACTAAAAGCTAAACCAAGGAAGAGAACTGAGTGAGTCCCACATTCTTAAGGCTTTTAGCTTGAGGGTAAGTCCCAGTTGTTGTCCTGTCAGGTTGTCAAAAATGGATAAAAACCCATCATCCTACTGGCTTAAAGAACCACAGGACAGAAGTCCACATATTAACAGATAAGCATTTTAAAGCAGCTATTACAATTATGCTCAAGGGTAGGGGAATATATACTTAAAATAAACGAAAATATTGGAAATCTCACCAGAGAATTATAAACCATAAAAAGTGAAATAAATGGAAATTACATAAGTAAAAAATACAATATCTGAAATTTAAAAATCACTGTATGTGCTTGACAGCATGCTGTATACAACAGAAGAAAGAGTTCGTGACCTTGAAATTATCCAAGCTGTAGGCCAAAGAGATAATGATTTAAACAGAAATGAATTTTAAAAACCCACATGAAACCATGGAAAATATCAAAGTATCGAATATATGAGTAATTTGAGTCCCAGAAGAAAAGAAGAGTGAGAATTGGCGGAAAAGTACTTGAAGTGGGCTCAGTATAAAAAGAAAATATCTAAACCAGCTAGAGAAAAATGACATTCTACATACAATAGGACAACATTCTGAATAATCACTGATTTCTCATGAGGAACTCTGGGGACCAGAAGGAAATGGAATAACTTCTTTAAACTGCTGAAAGAAAAATACAAGCTTTCAACTCCAAATTCTATATTCAGTGAAAATATCCTTTAAAATGAAGGCAAACAAAAAGCATTTTCAAATAAAAAACAATCAAGAGAATTTGTCAACAGCAGACATGCACTAAAAATGCTAATGAAGTTCTTCTGACTGAAAGAAAATAATACTGGATGTAAATTTATATTTTCAGGAAAAAAATATTAGAGATGGTAGATACCTGGGTAAATATAAAATAAGTTTCTTCTTACTTTCTTTTACACTACATAGGTCTGTTTAAAGTACTGATTACACAAAATTCTTGTGGGGGCATATATAGTCTACAGATGTAATACGTATACCAACTGTATCGTAGAATATAGGAAGAGATACAATATTGATTGTAAAAGGACTGAAAAGTTTATAGTGTGTATCGTAATCCCCATAGTGTCCAATGAATAATATGCAAAGCAGTAAAGCTAAAAAGCTGACAGAAAAATAAAATAATTTTTTAAAAAAATTCAAAGAATCTAAAATAAGGCAAGAATAGAGGAACTAGGGAGCAGGAACTTAAAAGGACAGATGGTGAATAAATAATAAAATGATAGGCCTAATTCCAATCATATCAACAGTGCACTAAATATTAATGAACTAAACACTCCAATTAAACTGCATAGATGATCAAACTGGATAATAAGCAATACTTAACTATGTACTGTATACAAAAGTGCTCTAATTATAAAGCTATAGACAGATCAAAAAGAAATGGATAGAATAAGATATACTGTGCAAATAGTAATGATAGTTGAGTGGAGTGGAATTCATATCAGATAAAAAAGACTTCAAGACAAAGAGCATTACCAGAGATAAAGATATTTTGTAATGATAAAATACTTTGTTTTTCAGGAAGCGATAGCCATCTCAAATGTGTTTAAGTCTAATAATGGGTTTCAAAATATGCTAATCAAAAATTGATAGAATTAAAGGGAGAAATAGTCAATTCCATGAAAACACGAGACTGCAACATGCCTCTCTTAGCAATTAATAGAACAACTAGACAAAGAAATCAATAAAGTCATTGCTGTGGTTTGAATATTTGTCCCCTCCAAAATTCATGTTGAAAATTAATCCCTAATGTGATGATTTTGGGAAGCGGAGCTTACTGGGAGGTGTTTGGATTATGGGGGCAGGTACCTCACAAATTGCTTGATGTTGCTTTCGAGGTAGTGGGTTCTTGCTCGTGGGAGACTGGGTTAGTTCTTATGGGAATGGATTGGTTTTCTCAAGACTGGAAGTTGTTATAAAGCCAGGACACCCCTCAGATTTTGTCTGTGAATGTGTCCACCCCCGATCTGTTACGTTGTGATGCAGCACGAAAGCCCTCACCAGAAGCCGGGACCATGACCATGAACTTCTCAGCTTGCAGAACTATGAACTAAATAAACCTTTCTATAAAAACAATAAATGACCCAGTCTCAGGTATTCCCTTACAGTAACACAAAATGAACTAAAACAAACATAGAATACCAGAACAATGCTATCAACCACCTTGACTTGATTGATGTTTATAGAATGTTTTAACCAACAAATGCAGATTACATATTCTCAGCTGTCAATGGTATGTTCACCAATATAACATGAAGGTTAGCTGTGCAGTAAAAATTTCAATAAATTTAAAAGGATTGAAATCACACAGAGTATGTTCTCTAATTATAATAAAATTACATCAAAAATAGAAAACAATAAAATCTATAAAAACCCTAAAACCTATAAAAACCCTAAATGTTGGGAAATTAATCAGCTGTTTTCTAAGCAATCTAAAGGTCAAAGAAAAAATCAGAGAGACGTTTGAAGATATTTAAAAATGAATAATGGAGTACAACATATTAAAATTTGTCAAATACAGCTAAAGCAGGCTTAGAGGGAAATTTATAGCTTTAAATACTTCTGTTAAAATGTATATGAAAATCAGGCTGGGCACAGTGGCTTATACCTGTAATCCCAGCACTTCGGGAGGCCAAGGCGGGAGAATTGTCTGAACCCAGAAGTTTCAGATCAACCTGAGCAACATGCTGAGACCCTGTCTCGAAAATATATGAGAGATATATATGTATATATATTATATATGTGTATATAGTATATGTATATATTATATATGTGTATATAGTATATGTATATATTATATATGTATATATAGTATATGTATATATTATATATGTATATATATTGTATATGTATATATTATATATGTATATATTGTATATGTATATATTATATATGTATATATTGTATATGTATATATTATATATGTATATATTGTATATGTATATATTATATATGTATATATTGTATATGTATATATTATATATGTATATATTGTATATGTATATATTATATATGTATATATTATATATGTATATATATTATATATGTATATATTATATATGTATATATATTGTATATGTATATATTATATGTATATATTGTATATATATTATATATGTGTATATTGTATGTGTGTATATTATATATGTGTATATTATACACATATATGTTATATATGTGTATATTATACACATATATGTTATATATGTGTATATTATACACATATATGTTATATATGTGTATATTATACACATATATGTTATATATGTGTATATTATACACATATATGTTATATATGTGTATATTATACACATATATGTTATATATGTGTGTATATTATATATATGAAAACCAAAGGAACTAAAAGCAAAAGCATTTCTTAAAAAAATGACAAAATTGGAAGACTTTTTGTTATATATATATTTTAATACTTTGCGACTTCAAAATTTATCATAAGGCTCTAATCATCAAACTGGTGTGATATTTGCGAAAGGATAGACAAACAGATTAACCACACAGAATTGAGTTCAGAAAGAGACCCTTACATCTGGATAAAGTTTATACAGGAGTTTTCTGTACTTTTCTTTCAATTTTTCTGATTCTGAAACTATTTCAAAATAAAAAACTTAAAGAAATATAAAAATGTTACATGATTTGAACAATAACACACTGGAGTAGATACTAATTGAATGAATAAAAGAAATCCGTAAAACAGCTATGCTAAAAACAATAGTGTTTATTGTTCTGAAATGTAAAATTTCCTAAAGATTCATCTGTTGTCCTTTCTTCCATTTACAGAAAAACTTACATATTACAGCTGAGAATGTGTATTTTAATGTGCAATGAATACTCGTGTTAAAATCTAAAAGCATACACATTTAAAAAATGAAGCCCCAACAAACCACTTGGGAAAATATTCTTGAATAAAAATGAAAGCAAATCCATAATTACACATTGCAGTAGATGCTGTTGATGCTCATCCTTAGCCCCCCAGCCCTTGCCTAAGTTCACTTTCAGCTGAGATGAACAGCATCCATGAGCAGTGATAGTTTCCTGCCTCAAACCACCATGGCTTTCTATTTCTTAGCTTTAAGGATTTCTTCAGTGTGCTTTGCTCACAGGCATGGCCGCCTAGAATTACTGAGGATTTAACACCCTCAGGAATGTTTACGGGTACATATCCCAGCTTTCCCTTTCCTCAATGGGACATTTCCAGGACATGCTATCAACTTTTTTTCAGAGATGGAGTTCCCGTTGCTCATAGCATTAAACCACTTATTAATTCACTCTTTATTGGCTTTTCTCCTGCCCATTATCACTTTCTCTACTTCCTCTTTTATGCTTCCCAGAATCACATTCTAGATAACTTTCTACGCCCAAGTACTTGTTCAGGGTCTGCTTTCTGGGAACCCCAAGCTACAACACACGGTATCTTAAAATAGTGTGATGAAGATCACTACCTCTCAAAAGCAATAGGATGTTACTTAACAGGATTTGGACTCTGATGCAAATTTGTAGCAGTATAAATTTCTATTATTGAAAAAGAAAAAATAAGAATTATACAGTTTATTTAAAAGCTTAATAACCAATGTAGAAATAAGAATATTATAGAAATAAACACAACCACAAAATAAATTTGTTAGAAAGCAAATACAAAATTAAGTTACAAAATCAAAGAATGTGCCCTTTGGAAAAAAGTTAAAAAGCAACAAATGTCTGAAAATTCTGATAACAAAAAATGAAAGAAGACAAGCAAAATAGGAAAGCAATTATTACATCAGATATTGAATAAATCAAATAATTTAAAGAGAATGCTGTGTATAGACCTATTAACATAAGTCTGTTAATAATTTGGTGGCAAAATAATTTTAAAGGAAAATATGAATTATTATAATCAACTCAAGAAATAGATAACTGAATATTGTGATGAAAGAAATTAACTTTTTGAAGAAAAAAATGCTCTGCAGCTGGATTATTCTGACATAATTTTTCTCAAACTTTTAAATCATAGCTCTTTCTAAGCTATACAAGCTAATCATAGATGGAAAACTTTCCAATTCCTTTCATAAAAATAGAATACATTTGATATCAAAACTTGAAAAGGATAAATCAAAGAGGAGAAAAAACATTGAACAATTTTTCTTCTGAATATGCTTAGGATAATGAAAAATATCTACAATCAGAAGGTAATAGTTTACTAGGCAGTAAAGAGCTAGAGGCATTGCCATTATAATTTAGAACAAAACATGGATGTATGCTGCTGCCACTATCAATTTATATTGTCTTGAAACCTCCAGCTATTAAAAAATAAGACCAAAAACAAGGATAGAAGATATAACATGTTTGTTACTGAGGAAAAAAAAAACCCTATTATTGTTTGCCAATGATAGTTTATCTAGAAATTGCAAGAGGTCAACTGAAAAACTGTCCAAACTAATAAGGTTAGTTAGTTGATTAATTAGATAAATGGTTCTTGTAACAAGGAGAGCCTGAATATGATAGATTAAATAAGATGGGAATCTATTTTCACCTGTCACACTAGTCCAGAGTTCAGTGGTTCAAGAATGATACAACTGCTCTGCTCCACATGGTGATTCAGAGACCCAGGTTCTTTCTATCTTCCTGACAATAGTCCCCTAGGATGGGAGTTGGCAAACGTTTTCTGTAATAAGCCAGATAGGCTTTGAGATTCATATAGTCTCTGACACATTTTCTTTTTCTCCCTATCCCATCTCCTCTCGCTCTCTCTCTCTCTTCCTTTTGTATTTATCTTTTTACCACCATCTAAAAAGGTAAAACGATTCTTAGCTCACGGGCCATACAAAAGTCAGGCTACAGGTCAGATCTGATCCACAGGCCATAGTTTGCTAAATTCTGCTCTAGAATGCTGTTTAATTCTTTGTGCTTAAAAATGATTCATCTCAAGCTTGTGCTCCAGGATAAAAACACAAATGTTTTTAGTGATAACTTGGAAGTTGCAAATATCACTTCTATCCACATCCCATTGGCCAGACATTTCACCTGCTGAGCTTCAAGAGGGTTTGGGAAATCTGGGTAGCTCTGTGACCAAGAAAAGCAGAAAAACACACTTGGATGGGACAAGTATAAATTACTGGTTAAAATAATTTTTTTAAAAAATTAATACTTTCCTAAGTATCAATAATTTCCAGTTAGAAAATATAATGGAAAATGGGTCTTTTGCAAATTGTCAATAGCAAATTGTCTCTAAAAACTACCTAAAACATTTTGAACCTGAAATGTTCAGGATCTGCCTGAGTAAATATAGGAACATATAATAAAGAAAGTAAAAGTTGACAAATTAAAAGAAAGACAAATGAAGTTGCTAAACGGAAAACTGAGTATTTAAAGTATGTATGTCAAATTTCTTTAATTAATTGATAGATTTAATATAATTCTAATTAAAATTCTGGCCAGGTGCAGTGTCTCACACTTGTAATCCCAGCATTTTGGGAGGCCGAGGCAGGCAGGTCGCTTGAGCCCGGCAGTTTGAGACCAGCCTGGGTAACATGGTGAAACCCTGTTCCTACTAAAAATACAAAAATTAGCAAGGCATGGTGGTGCATGCACCTGTTGTTCCTGCTACTTGGGAGGCTGAGGTGGGAGGATCGCTTGAGCCCGGGAGGTTGAGGCTGCAGTAAGCTATGATTGCACCACTGCACTCCAGGCTGGGTGACAGAATGAGATCATGTTTCAAAAAACAACAGACAACAAACAACACCACCACCAGCAAAATTTCAACAAAATTAATGTGTGAGTTTGACAAGGTGATTCTGAAATGTGTATAGAAAATAAATGTATGTAGAAAAATAAATGGGAGCAAATTCTTAGAAAAAATTATTTAAAAATAAATGAAATGAGGTGTCATCGGTCAAAAGGGGGCTCAGGAGACATAGCATAGTTGGAACAGGGAAAACTCATTGCCCTTTCTAATAATTTTTACGTCACAAAATCTTGGGAAATAGGAGATCTTTCTTTCATTTCCAACCACTTTCTGTGTGACCTTAGGCAAGTTATTTAATCAATCAGAGTATCAATTTTATGGCAAAATGAACCCAATACCACATATTTTATAGGGGTTTATTAAGGGATCCGGTTTGTTCTGTGCCACTTCTTTACCGTCCTATCTTAGAAGGGAAAGACTGCATCCAACTAAAATGGTATCAAATCCACTGTTCCTAGTGTAGTATGCCACCTAGGATCTCAATACATGCCTATGGTTACTGATGATGATGATGATGATAAAGAAGGGGAGGAAGAAGGGGAAGAGGAGGGAGAGGAGGAAGAAGGGGAAGAGGAAAAGGAGGAGAAAATAACTGATATGCTGCAGAATTGTACCCAGCAATTCATCTAGGCAGCACTTGCCAGTGTCGGGAAAGAAAGCTGTTCTGAATTTTAGTTCTATTCCTAGCCATATAATATTAGGAATGTTACTTAATTTCTCTGTGCCTCTATTTTTTCACTGCTTAAATTTAGATAATAATGCTTAACTTGCCTGCTGTGATGATGGTAACAATAACAAACAATTTATTGATCAGTTGTTCTGTCCTCGGCACAAAGTGCTTATAATACATGAAATCATTGAATTCACACAAATCTTGAGAGGTAGGTACCATCGTCATCATCATCATCATCATCATTATGGATATTATTTGCATTTTGACAGAGGAGGAAGCAGAGGTAAAGAGATGACCATAACTTGCCAAAAATCATGCAGTTATTGGGTTTGGTATCAGACCCAGAACTTGGGCAGCTCTTTACCATGAGGGGACCATCTGCATAAATGCCCAGCAATGGGTACTTACCCAGCCCAGGTAATAAATAATAACTAGGCGGGGCGCGGTGGCTCACACCTGTAATCCCAGCACCTTGGGGGGCCGAGGCGGGCGGATCACGAGGTCAGGAGATCAGACCATCCTGGCTAACACGGTGAAACCCCGTCTCTATTTAAAATACAAAAAAATTAGCCAGGTGTGGTGGCGGGCGCCTGTAGTCCCAGCTACTCCAGAGGCTGAGGCGGGAGAATGGTGTGAACCTGGGAGGCAGAGCTTGCAGTGAGGCAAGATCGCGCCACTGCACTCCAGCCTGGGTGACAGAGTGAGACCCGTCTCAAAAAATAAATGAACAAATAAATAAAAAATAAATAATAACTAACAACTATTGCCTCTGGGTACTCACCTTACAGAGGCAGTCAATAGAAGTTGCACATTGCAATCTAGTTGTTCTGTCTTGTGAAATCTTTATTTAAACAAAAGATTGTTTAAAGGCTCAGTGAGTCCTTGAGGACAGGGAGTGTGTCTTGTTTGCAAAGCTCTTGGGACAGTGCTTGGCTTGTGGTAAATATTGAATAAATGGGGTGATCAAGGTGGTGGTTCATCATTGTCACTAAAAGGTCTAGACAAGTGCCTGGTTCTTTATCTGCCACTAAATACATGTTTATTGATTGAATGAATACGTCCAACAAATTTCTTAATTTCAAATGTCTTTTATATTCCTAGTTTTTTTCCTCGAGTTATGCCTTTAAAGCAGTGCAAGATATGCCATTGTGAAAAGGCGTATAGTCTTAAATCAATGTTTGTTTACTACAATATCTTTCCTATTTAAATTTGGTTAAAACTAGTGAATTTGTAGGGGAATGGTAACAGTCTGCAATACAGAAGGCGAAATCTTAATTCACTTCAAATCAGCAAACATTGCTGTTTAGGGATAGTAATTGATAACTGTTTAGAATTGTGGTTGGAGAGTTTTATTACAGGTATGCATTATAACCAGTTTCACACAATCCAGTGGCATAAATTTCAGCAAAAGTGATGAATTTCAAAGAAAACATATCTTTTATTTGTAGTATTTCCAATCTGACTGTTTTCAGTTGTGAATCAAAAAACATTTGATTTGAGACCATGAGTATAGCAATACTGTTTTATAAGAGTGTTGTGGGCTCAGTAATGTTCATTTATTTTAATCCTCTCTATAAATTTTGACAGAAGCCTCTTTATGAACACATACTTTATGAGTTCCACCAAATAGAAATGTCCCAGAAAAACATTATTTTATTGGGGTAGACTAAATGTTTCGCTGGGCAAAAATAAAACCACTGACGATAATAGATAAGTTGAAAATTTGTGTTTCATTACAGAGTTTTGTTTGCTAGAATAGAGGGTGCCCATATTTCTGAAAATTGGGACTGGTTTCCAGAACTTTGCTGTACCATTTTTAGATTCCCTTTCTTTAGCTATAGTCTAATTTACTAATCACTGGGAAATGGGGTGGCCCTGAAAGAGAGAAGTTACCCTACTTTATCAATTCTTGGAGAGATGAATCCTTAAAAATGAGAGAAATATTAGTTGGGGGGGCGGTGGAGAGAGAGATAGAGGAAGAAAGAGAGACAGAGAGCCAGCAGAGCTGGAAAAATAATCCTTTGCTTTCTATATTAGCTTCCAAGATCATCCCCATATAGCTGTTCGAGACCTCAATTTATTGAACCTAATGGAGATGAGTGACAGAATGGTGAGACTGATGATGATTATGATGTGCAGCTTCACTGAGGTCATGGGCTTGGTTAATTCCCTTCCAAAGGGATGGAAGGAGAGAAAGAGAGCAAGAAGGGTGAGTACAGTCAATTCAGCCCCTCATTTTCAAGCTAACTGGGAACTGTTTATAATGAATGTCCCTGCCTCCATCAAGGGCATTTCTTCCATTTAACGAGCACGCAGGAAGCAGACATTGCTCAAGTACAAGGGTTCAGTTTGCAGTGAGCCACAAATCACATTTCATTTATCAGGCCCTACAGATGACAGGATATCATCGAATCCCTGGAGAGCCATATTCATTAAAAAGAAATCTTAAGTAATTACAACAATTAATTGACTTGAAACAGTTTCTGGTGGATAAGGTTTACATAATTCATTTGCCAGACAAAACAAGCCTGATCAAATCTGGGAACATGTTATTTAGAAATGTCCCACTATCTGACAAGGTACCTTCGTGGAAAGGTGTTTATCATTGGGATCCTTTTTTTTTTTTTTTTCTTAAAAGGAAAGAATAATTTTTGAACAAGAAATGGGTATCTGAAAATGTCTAACAGACTTTATTTTGAGCCCATAAAATGGTGCTACAGCACCTCTTGACTTACCGTTGTGACTAAAACTGATGAATGAAAATGACGATGGGTTGTATTAATTGAGGACTCTCTGAGTTTATGGTTTTGAGGATGAAGTTTGAGTTGGATCCAAGACAAAGGCCTTCCAAAAAGCTAAACAACTATTTAGGACAAGATCCAAGGCCCAGTTTAAGAACTCCATTATCAACAAAATAAGATGCACAAAGAACTACTCTTGTCATTAATATTTTGCCAAAATTTTCAGCCATTAGTCATAAATATTTTAGCTCCAATGTTTTATTTTATTTTATTTTATTTATTTATTTTGAGATGGAGTTTTGCTCTGTCACCAGGCTGGAGTGTGGTGGCATGATCTCGGCTCATTGCAACCTCCACCTCCCGGGTTCGAGCAATTCCCCTGCCTCAGCCTCCCGAGTAGCTGGAACTACAGGTGTGCGCCACCACACTCAGCTAATTTTTTTGTATTTTAGTAGAGATGGGGTTTCACCATGTTGGCCAGGATGGTCTCAATCTCTTGACCTTGTAATCCACCCACCTCGGCCTCCCAAAGTGCTGGGATTGCAGGTGTGAGCCACCGTGCCTGGCTAGCCCCAATATTTTAAAAGGTGGGGCCTGTGATTAAATTTAGAAAGGGATATCACTGAAGAGCCATAACAAATAACCTTTTATGTACTGCAAAATATGATTTTCCAACCACTCAGTGACACCTGCAACATAATATAACCACATTATTAGCCTTCTGCTATATCAACGTTTATTTTGGAGAAATGATTTAGAGAGGTTCACATAATGAAACACCATTCTCTAATACCACTCTGAGTTATCTTATTGGGGTCATAGGAGAATGGATGATGGTAACTCTTAGGAAAGCAAGAAAGAAAAGCATATACTACAGAATTTTTGAGACTGCTATATCTTATTTCACGACCCCAGTGAGGTTTACTAAGACATCTGGCTTTTAGAACTCACAGTCTCATATAAAGGGCTAAAAGTTGGATGGGCATTACACCCAAGAGTGATAGTTTCTTAGGTTTGGTTCTCCCAAATCAAGCCATGTATCGGCTGCCTCAGTAGCTCCTAAGAAGCTCACTAAATATATGAACACAGCACCCAGGGAAGACACATGGAAAAAGAATCACCAGGGTGGGCTTGAGCCTCTACTGTTTCGACAGTCATCCCATGACCATCAGTGAGTGAATGTTTGGAATCATTGAAAAACCTGTAGAATAATTTGCATTTTTTTGGTGTTTTTAGACATTATTCTATTTTCCCCCTCCAGATTTCCCTTTCTGTGCCACTTGTTGAAATGTTGCGCATTTCTGGACCCTAAATTTACAAGAAGTTGCAAGGGTATGGGTTCTGTCCATCCGACAAGCCTTAAAGAGCCCCCAGAGCTGCAGCTATAAAATGAATAATGTTTCTAAAAATTAGTTCCATATTTTCTTGAATTTCTTTATAGATAGATAGATTTTTATGTTAGTCTGTTTTTTCACATTCATAATTGCCATGTGGCTTAACAAAAATAACTCCCTTCTCTTTGCTAAGATTTTCTAATTTGTTATTTGTTTGAAGATAATCTGATGGATTGCGTATATGTTTTCTGATGACTGAGTTAAAATCCTTTTCAGATCATTCCAGCATTGGATTCAACTGAAGTTGATGTGAGTTGGCTGTCTCTTCTCATTCAAGTTGTGATTTTCTTGGTATGACGGGAAATTTCTATTGCATCCTGGACATTTTGGCTATTATGTTGAGCGACACTGGATCCCATTTAAATCTTTTATTTTGGCAGGTAGTCACCTCGTATAGGTTAGTTCTCAAGGATCTTGCCTAATTTGGTAGGCTGTGGTTCCAACAGTAGCTTAATTTCCTTCCTTCCTTCCTTCCTTCCTTCCTCTCCTCCTCCTTTTCTTTCTTTCTTTCTTTCTCTTTCTTTCTTTCTTTCTTTCTTTCTTTCTTTCTTTCTTTCTTTCTTTCTTTCTTTTTCTTTCTTCTTTCTCTTTCTTTTTCTTTCTCTCTCTGTTTCTCTCTTTCTCCTTTTTTCCTTTCCTTTCCTGTCTTTTCCTTTCCTTTCCTTTCCTTTCCTTGTTTCCTTTCCTTTCGTTTCCTTTACTTTTTTGACAGCGTCTCACTCTGTCGCCCAGGCTGGAGTGCAATGGCGTGATCTTGGCTCATTGCAACCTCTGCCTCCCAGGATCAAGCCATTTCCTGCCTCAGCCTCCCGAGTAGCGAGACTACAGGCACCTGCCACCACACCTGGCTAATTTTTGTATTTTTAGTAGAGATGGGGTTTCACCATGTTGGCCAGGCTAGTCCTCAAACACCTGATATCAAGTGATCCGCCCCCCTCTGCCTCCCAAAGTGCTGGGATTACAGGCATGAGCCACTGCACCCAGCCTGTAGTTTAATTTTCTGAGCCTTTGTGGTGTTATTTGTCTGCTTGGCTTATACGTTGCCAGCGAGGCTCTCACTGGTTCCTGCTAGGGCTGCTAGAGGGGCTGAGGGGCTTCCCCAGGGGAGCCTTCCCCATGTCTACCTTGGTGGGGAAGGGAAGTTCCCATTGGAATGGGGACGGGGCTTCCCTGACCAGCTAATTGTTGCTCTGGTATTTCTCACTGGGGTAGAGAAGTCTCAAGCCCTGCAGGGCAGGAGAGCATCTCTTCTGGTATTGTTAGCGAGGCTCCGGGATCAGGCATCCAGTCCCCTTGCCATAGTAAATGGTGCAGGTTTGCCTCCTATTGCAGGAGGAATTCCTGTTTATTCCAGGAGAGAAATGAGGCTTCCTGGGCTGCCTTCTGTTGCTAGGTTGGGGTCAAGAAATGCTGGGTCTGAGTCAGCAAGTCTGAGTCCTGAGTTGGTTGGGAGGATGTAAGGTGCCCTGCCCCTGTGATGTTCCTCCAGTCCTGGGACCCCAAACCTGGTGGCTTTCATCTCACCACCTTTCAGCGTTCTCCTTTGGTTGCCTCTTGAGCTACTTCTAGGATTTATAGTTATAATGAGTGGGGGAAAGAAGGGAGAAATGTGTCTAGGTTATGAATAGGTTTCTAAAATTAATTTCCCATGGAAAGTCCCAAGGATAGATTATTAAAAATAATTTCAAAGCAAAGCTTACTGTTGTGATATGCTAACATGTGGCCCCAAAGATTTTTTGAAGATAATTTCCTGTGATGGTTTTTAAATGAGATAAGATGTATTAATAAATTGTTTGCCTAATAATATTTCTACTTGGAATTACACATCAAAAATACCATGGGGTTTGAAAAACTCTATAATCTGGGGAGATGAACCAAAAAAGAAATACTTGGCTGAAAAAAAAAAAAGAGAGAGAGAGAGAGAAATACTCTGGTTTCAGTTTCTTGTTAAATACCCAAGGATTAAATGGATAAATAATTATTTGAGACAGAGGCAGTTTCCAGAGTTTAATACCAGAAGTTTTTCCAAAGGCCTAGGTCAGTGGTGCACCAGGACTGGCTGGTTAACAGTAATCCCTAGAGATTTTTAAGGAGTCCCTGCCTCACCCTCTAAAAATTCTAAGCCAGTGAGGCGAGGGTTTGGCCCCTGAATGTTTTTTTTGTAAAGCTCTCTAAGCAGCTATGATGATTGACCGCATTTGATAACTATATTTAACCAATAAATTGGTAAATTTCCAAAATGTGCTTGAACTGAAAAGAGAAGGCCCTTTGCTCAAGGTGACACTTTGTGCAGGGAAAGCCAAAAGAAAGATGGAAATGTTGACCTTGCAATGATTTTAAAAGGGAGAATGAAAAACCAGAAACCACCCAGGAGCACAGCAAGAATTATATAAGGGGTCCAACAAGTAGCGTGTGAGAAAAATGCCTGGAATAATAGATGTGTTTTACTTGGTGAGGACAAGCCTTAGGGAGGATGTGCTAATTATCTTCAAATATTTAAAGGAGTATTTTGAGAGGAAACTAGACTTCCACCATTTGGACTAGGAACCTGCATCTTTAGCAAACTTCCCAGGTGATTCTGAGGGAACTGTGGACCTCACTGAACATTCCTGGTTACAAGAAGGCTTCATCCAGACTTTCTTTTTTTTTTTTTTTTTTTGAGATGGAGTTTCACTCTTGTCGCCCAGGCTGGAGTGCAATGGTGTGATCTCGGCTCACTGAAACCTCCGCCTCCCAGGTTCAAGCAATTCTCCTGCCTCAGCCTCCCAAATAGCTAGGATTACAGGCACCCACCACCATGCTCAGCTAATTTTTGTATTTTTAGTAGAGACGGGGTTTCACTGTGTTGGCCAGGCTGGTCTTGAACTGCCGACCTCAGGTGATCCACCCACCTCGTCCTCCCAAAGTGCTGGGATTATAGGCATGAGCCAACATGCCCAGCCCATCCAGACTTTTATAGAATGGTTTGGGCGTTTGAGGATGAGAGAGCTGCTGGGGAGAATTCAACAGGGAACCAACCAAGACATAAGAGGAAGGAAGGGAAAAAAGGATGGGAAGGGACAAGAAGGAGAGAGGAGGTGAGAAGAGAAAGGAAAGAAGGAATGAACAAAGGAAGGAAAGTGGGAGAGATGGAAGGAAAGAGGGAGGGGAAGCAAGGCAGGGTGCTCTAGGTGTGGAGGGCCTGCCCTTGATGAAATGCTGGTTGTTTGACTGACTGTAATACAGCTCAGCAACTGGTAATAAGACAGAGAAAGTAGAGTTGCATTCACTGGAAATGAGGAATGGGAAAGGCGGAGAGAGTGGAAGGTCAAGGGGGAGGAGTTTGAGCTGTTGATAAGGGAGGTGAGAGAGTTGTTGGTAATAGAGGATCATGGCCAGATAGGAAATCAGGTACATAGAGACCACACCAACAGACCTCAAATAGGCAGTGAGGCCGATCGGCTAGAGGTTGCCACCAAGGTGAAGGAAAGGTTTAGAAACAGTGAGGAAGTGGAGAGGACTAGATTTGGAGTTGTTCCCACTCTTCATGGTCAGTGAGATGGGGAGAAAGCAGCACCCAGCATGGAGCCAGCTGGGAAGCCAGAGTTTTGCCCAGTACAGTGCTTCTCAAACCCCTGTGTGCGTCGCAATCACCTAGAGGGCCTGCTACAATGCAGGCTGCGGGAGCCACCCCAGAGATTCTAAGGCAGTAGGTCTGCAAGGGGCCCAAGAGTTTGCTTTCTTGACTAGCTCCCAGGTGATGTCAATGTCCTGGCACCACATTTTGAGACAGTGACCTAGGAAAATCCTGCCTTCTGTTAAATGGACACACTTGGAAGGGCTGAGGGCAAAAGAAACTGTCCACCATGCAGAGGTCCAGAAAGCAGAGTAGGCATGGAGAGGTGGAGGTGGGGGTGACTGGGAGCCTGGGGTCACTGTGGGCTGCACCCGGGTGAGAGTTTGGGCCTTTTAACAGGATGGGGTGAGCCAGATGAATTCCAGAGTGTTTTCAAGTAGCAGTAAAAGTCTGCATGGGCAGTTCACACTTACCCATCACTAGTTATTTAAAATTGCTCTTTTCCATGCATATATCAGTTTGTTGGTGCTGAAAAGAGGAGTGGCTCATTTCACTATGCCTGAAAGGGGTTTTGGTTCAGAGCTAGCATGGAGTAGGGTTGCCCCTCACAAAGAATGAAGAGTTTGATAGCAGAGGCCTTGGGTGAAGCCTGATGGCATGAAGACTTCATTCTTTTCCTGAAAACCTTTCAATGAATTCCCATTGCCTTTAGGGTACAATCTAGAATCCACAATGCTAGGTACAGAGGTCTTCACACTCTGGCCTGAGGCAGTTTCTCCCTTCTTTCCTGGACTGCAGTCACAGAGGATGTGTTCTATTTCCTTGCATTCACGGTGCTTTCTCCAGCATCAAGGCCTTCACAAGTATTTGTGGCTTTCTTAGGATGGGTTTTCTCTTGCTTTATTAGCTAGCTTCTACTGATTCTTCTAATAACAACTCAAGTGTCTCTTTTAAGGGAAAACTTTCTTAAGTACCAAACTAGGACTCCTTTCTCCTCTCCTTTCTCAACTTATCTCACAGTTTGCTTTTTTTGTTTGTTTGTTTTTTTATTTGAGACAGGGTCTTGCTGTGTTGCCCAGGCTGGAGTACAGTGGCACCATCTTGGCCCACTGCAGCCTCCGCCTTCTGGGTTCAAGCGATTCTCATGCCTCAGCCTTTAAGTAGCTGGGATTACAGGCGTGTGCCACCACGCCTGGCTAATTTTTGTATTTTCAGTAGAGATGGGGTTTCGCTGTGTTGGCCAGGCTGGTCTTGAATTCCCGGCCTCAAGTGATCCGCCCACCTTGGCCTTCCAAAGTGCTGGGATTACAGGCATAAGCCACCATGCCCAGCCTCACAGTTGTATTATAATTCTGTGTTTACTATAAATTTTCTGTTTTCTACCAGAAATGGTAGGCTAGGAGAGGGGTGACCAACTCCTTCCAGTTTACCTGGAACTTCCCTAGTTTTATAGCTCCAAGTCCAGTGTCCTGGGAACTCCTCAGCCGGGGCAAACCAGGATGCTTTGTCATCCTAGTCTGGTCCACAACACACCCTAGATCTAGCACTGGCCAGCACCTATCATACGCTCAATATATATGCATGAAAAAAAAAATATGTGCACGAAACAAAATTGAGTAGTGCTTAAAGTGGGTAAAAGAGAAATTAGCCATCACTCTCAATATTCCCCTGACCTCAACAAATGTTCCTTGAGAAGGAGAAAAAATGGCAAACAGCCACTATTCAAAATGATTTTAGGAGTCTGACTCCAACCTTTCACCCTGAAAGGCAGTGGTTGAATTTAAGACTATAGACAAATAGCAAGATAATATGTAAGTCCAGTCTGCTGAACATGGGGGTGTCCATTTGTTCATTCAGCAAATAGTATTTTTTTGTGCCTATCCTCAAAATACATCTCTCTACCAGGTTCACTAGTAAATTATATTCATTCTCTTGGGAGAGTTTTTGTAAATTACCTAGTGAAATGCAAATACTGTGATAGGAGATGACTCTAAACTCTATCAGCTGTGATTCTGAAGTGGGGGGAGGAATTAGCATGGGTTCCAGGCTAATGTCTGCAGACATTAGGACTCCTACGGTGGCCTGGGTCAGGCTATGACAACATCCTACTTGCCTTCACATGTCTCTTCTTCCTCCACAACCCCTGGGGACATGGATGTCTCTCTAAGTAAATGTATGATCTGTGCCCATGAAGAAATGAAGTGCCTTGCAAAGAACACAATGTCCTGACTCAAGCTCCAGTAAACAAACTCAGTAATTTATGTGGGAAGTCCTTTGTAATTTTACACAGACCCTTGACTGCTTTAAACTGTTTAGGAGTATTTATTCATACAGCATGTTTAAGAGTCAGCATCAAGGATTTCAATCTTCCAAACAAGAAAATTAGAAAGCAAGTTTCGTTCCCACAGTGACAGAGGAAGGGCAGAGGCTATTAGGACAACTCATCTCCTACAATATTAAAAACACCCTGGCAGGCTTTGCCAGGTCACAAGAAGGACCCGCCGGAGCTGGGAGTGGGAAGAGCAGCTGTGGTGGTGGCTCGCAGACAGGTGCGTGGGCAACTTGTCTCTGCTCGTGAGGTCAGATATTGAAATGAGAAAAAAGGAAGCTGAAATGCTTCTCCCCAGACCCATGATTTCTATTTTACTCAGAAAGCATGTCTTTACTTCAGACATTAGGGAAAATATGAAGCTAAGCAAAGCGTGAAAAACAGTCTAGAAAAGAAATAGGGGAAGATGTTCGGCTGTTTTTCACCTGCTTAGAACCAAGCCCATTAATAGAACGGGAGCATCAATTCCTTTCACTTCCCTCATCACAAGCAGTGGTGATGGAGAAAACCAGGATATTCCTCCAAGCGTTCTTGACCCTGACAGCTGTTTCAAAGATATGTGGTTCTATCATAGGATGAACCTGTGCACAGAGAGTGGCACAGATCAACCAAGACCCATTAGTACCTGTTCCGGTTTGCTATGTTGCAAATTACCTTAAAACTTTAGTTGCTTAAAACAACCACCATTTTATTATGTTTCTTGCTTTTATGGGTCAGGGATTTGGGCAGGGTTCAGTTGGAAGGTTCTTCTGTTCCAGGTGGCATGGACTGTGCTTGGTTGGTGGTGGATTCAGTTGGCGGGTGGGCTGGTATGGAGGACAGTTTCCTGCACAGATGTGCCTCAGAGGGTGTGGTGGGCTCAATAATGGTCCCCAAAGATATTCAGGTGTGAATCCCTGGAATCTGTGACTGTTACCTTATATGGCAAAAGGGACTCTGCAGGTGTGATTAAGGATGCTGAGATGGGGAGATCATCCTAAATTGTCTGGGTGGACCCTAAATACAATCAGAAATGTTCTTACAAGAGGAAGGGAGAGGGAGATTTCACTACAGAGAAGAAAAAGGCCCTGTGAGGACTGACACAAGATGTCACATTGCTGGCTTCGAAGATGGTGGGAGAGGACATGAACCAAAGAATGCATGGAGTTCTGCTGTCATTGCTGGGAAAAGGCAGGGAAACAGGTTCTTCTCTAGAATCCCTGGGAGAAGCGAGGCCCTGCTGACACCATGGTCTCAGCCCAGTGAAATTGATTTTGGGCTTCTGACCTCCAGAACTATAAAAAAATAATGTGTGCTGCTTTAAGTCACCAAGTTTGTGGCAATTTGTATAGCAGCCATAAAAAAAAAATAAACCAACAAACCTAACATAGTAGAGATGACCAGATGACTGGAGTGAACTGAGACTATTGAAGAGTGGGTGGTGCCATGGCCTCTCTGGCATGGCAGCTGTTCTCAGCGTTTCACATGGCTCCCAGAGAATGTCCAAGAGAGGAAGTGGAAGTTTCCAATTTCTTAACCCTGGGGCAAAGCAATCACAGAGCCTGCCCCAGTTCAAAGGATGAAAACATAAACTTTACTTTTCCATAAAAGGAGCATCAAAGACTTTGTGGCCGTCTTTTTACTGCAGGAAAGAACACTTTGAAAACTCATGCCCTACTGACTGTGGAGCAACACCATAATGTCTGCATGCTTATTTAATTTGCTGACTTTCAAAATCCTGGTTCTGTTGTGGGTAAAATCATTTATCAGTTTGATATAAAAAACAGAGTCATAGGGATTATTTTGTATTCCTGATGGAATCCAAAATCACACTGGCTTATGTCATTTTGGAAGAGGTCAAGAAAACAAGCAGGCTTGTTACAGGGTGTTCATTTATTCATTTCTAGTCTTTCTGCATACTTGGCTGGAAGATAGACATTGTATCAGCAAGTGGGGCCAGTAATGCAGAAGACAGTGTGACAAAACTGATTGATCTTCATTGAAAAACTGGAGAGCTGGTACAGGATTTCTCTGTTCTTTAGTCTGAGCATAATGAGTACCATGAAGTAGACAGACTCTACTGCAGCTTCTCAGAAAGTGCTGCTGTCACCTCCACTTCCAATCCAATGTGTTGTACAGATGAATGTTCAGAGTTATTCAGACACTTTCCCATATGTCATCTCCTTTGATCTTCATCACATTCTACCTCTCAGCTCGTTATTTCTAATAATAGGAAACTCAGTCTGAGAAAAGTCACCTAGCTAAATAAATGATCAAGCCAAGACTTTGGGTTGGCCTTCCTCTTTTTTCCCAGCTGAGGGAAGGTTCCCAGGGGTGGACACATGATACAAAAGCACAGAGGAGCAGGTTTCCCACACATTTCTCATGCCATTTTTCTCCTCATTGCAGACGTATGCTGATTTCACACAACTGGCTGACTTAACAGGTGTTCAAGAGTTTGAGCACCTGGAGTAGAGATGAATCTGAGATGGGGGTAGCTGCATCAGCCCCATGCAATGCACACTGGCTGATGTCTTGAAGCTCTTTAGATTACACTTTTGCATTTGCTTCTACAGTGGAGAATAATACAGTCAGGACATCAGGGACCTGCACTTTGATCATGAAAACAAACTGGCTGGACCTACCATATTGGTAGAAGCCCAGTCACCTTCCAGCTGCCTCGAGATATATGTTTGGGTGTGTGCAGGAGTCCATGAAAAGTGGGGCAATGAGTGCCTCTCTGAGTGATCTCTGGGCTTTTAAGAAATCAAAACAACATAAGACAAATAATAAAGATGAAACTCCTCTTACCACAGCTGGAGACCTCTGAGGAAAAGGATTATTTTCTGGTCAGAAACTTATGAGACTACTTTCCTTGTATGGGAACAATGGCTGGACATCCAGAACTCCTAGCTGAGATCAAGCTGTCTTCGTGGTGGGAAGGGCTTCCAGGGTCCTGGCTGAGTTATCATCACCATCCACCTCTACTTTTCCTCAAGAGCCAACTCCAGGCCAGGCATTGTACTAGGTCTTTTATTTAAAGCTTTATTATTATTATTATTTTGGCATAAAAGGTATATTTTCTCCAAAACCCTGTGTTAGCATATTTTTGTATTGCTGTAAAGGAATACCAGAGGCTGGGTAATTTATAAAAGAAAAGATGTTTATTGGGTTCATGGTTCTGCAGGCTATGCGAGAAGCATGGTGCTGGTACCTGCTTCTGGTGAGGGCCTCAGGCTGCTTCCACTCATGGCAGAAGGGGAAGGGGAGCTGGTGTGTGTAGAGGTCACAAGGAAGGAAAGAAGGGCAGGGAGGTGCCAGGCTCTTTTCAACAACCAGTTCTCTTGGGAACTAAGAGGGAGAAATCATTCCCTAGAGAATGACACCAAGCCATTCATAAGGGATCCACCCCTGTGACCCAAACACTTCCCACCAGGTCCCACCAGGCCTTTAACAACAGGGCTCAAATTTCAACAGGAGACTTGCAGGGCCAGACAAACCATATGCAAACCAGAGCAGCCCCTTCTAAGGAAAGTATCTCCAAATTTCCCTGTTTCTAGTGAGCCACAGTACACAGGGCTTCTGCGCACAGGTGACAACTTAATCAGAGAAGGAAAAATGAGATGGAGTTATGCTCATAACATTTTACAGTTTTATTACTATAACAAGTTTCAGAAGCAACTAAGGTGTTATTAATACTAACATTCAAACTTCCATGTTACAGACTTTATAAAGAAATGTGGTGAAGGGGCTGCAGAGTGGTATTTTGGTCTTGTCACCAACCAAGAAAATGGAAAAGAAGTATACTGAAAGCTGCTAAATGCAGCAAACACCACCCCTGGAAGGGAACTGGAAGGGGCCATGTATCAAGTAGGGGTTCCTTCAGTTGAGTGTGACAGAAAACCGAAAATAGGGGCCATGCACGGTGGCTCATGCCTGTAATCCCTGCACTTTGGGAGGCTGAGGCAGGAGGATTGCTTGAGCCCAGGAGTTAGAGACAAGCCCTGGTATATCTAACTCATCTCTGCAAAAAATAAAAAGAATCAGCTGAGTGTAGTGGCATGCACCTGCAGTCCCAATTACTTGGAAGGCTGAGGCAGGAGGATTGCTTGAGGCAGGAGGTCGAGGCTGCAGTGAGCCGTGATCGCGCCACTGCACTCCAGCCTGCATCACAGAGCAAAATCCCGTCCAATGCCAAATAGTTACGTCTTATTCAAGATAGATGCATTTTCTTTCTTTCCATAAAAGGAGCCCCCAGGGTAGATAGTACGCTTAGGTACAGTAGCTCCACAATGGTCAGGGATCCATCTCTCTCTCTCATCCATCCACTGTCTGTCATCTGATGTGCCATGGTCTAGGAAGGCTTCCTGGATTGCAGCCAAGGTAGCTGCATTTCATCCACCAGGAAGAAGGGAGACAGAAAAAAGCAGCAGAGATGAACCCACTATCTTTTAAGGGACTCCCTAGAAGCTGCCACATACACTGCCACTTTACCTCTATAAGGAGGATGGAAAATATCATCTTTAATCTGGGTCAACCTATACTTAGTTCAAAATCAAAGTCTGCATAACTAAGAAAGATAGGAAAAACCGGTATGGATAGACCAAACATGGGAATTAGAAAAAGAGCTGATTTCTGCCTGGATTTCAGCATATACTACTACAAACATATTAACATTAACACATTAACATTTAACAAGTCATGACTCCCCCTTCCAAAACTGCATTAAATTAATTCTTAACACATGTACCATGAAACTACTTTTCTTTTCCCCAAAATCTTTTCCTGGTAAAATTGGCATGTATCTTATGTTCATTCATGTCATATTTTGATACACATGATAAAAATCTCATTGAATTGGCTATCTCAAACCCATGAAGCAGGCAATATTATTATTATGGTTCAGTAGGATTAGGAAGTCTGTTTAGGCCCAACCAGGATCGAAATCCAGATGCATCTGGTTTCAAAATATTTAATGCTTTCTGAAAATGTACCAAAACTGTTGGACTTCAGGAAAAAAAATAGCCTTGGTGTGAGAAGCTTTTCCCAGTTTGTCCCATATGAGAACATTGTTTGGTGGTAGAAAGAGGCATTTTAAAGCTGAGGAAGATGTGGTACTGCAATATTAATATAAAGAGAAATTGCAACAGAATACCGACCAATCTGTCTTGGTCAGACCATTCTGTGTAACTATAAAGGGGCAGTATTTTTGGCTCCTGAGTCCTTTAAGCAGTGTTTTGTTGCTTCTGCAACAGCGACATAGTAGGTCCCAGCTGAATTTGTGTTGCAGCCTGGTGGGCAGCCGGTGTAAACAATCCAAACTGAATTTCCTTGCTTGCAAATACTATGGCAGATCCCTGAATGCAGAGCAGATGTGAGAAATAAACTCTTGAACCATTTATATCTGTTGTAAATTGGAAGGGGAAAAAACATCCCCAAGTAGAAAAATAGCTTGGTTTGGTATTAGAAGAACGTATTTTTTTAAAAGATGCCACATGAAGAAATTTGAATATCA
Source organism: Homo sapiens (assembly GCF_000001405.40). NCBI lineage: Eukaryota > Metazoa > Chordata > Mammalia > Primates > Hominidae > Homo > Homo sapiens. The sequence goes on from NC_000006.12 coordinate 8,274,044, forward strand.
AAATGGCATTGGGGAAAGTTGGTTAATAAAGTATTGGAATCCAAATGTTTCCTAGAAACAGGTGTTATCCTTTATCAGCATTATAATTTAATTGGGTGTTCAAATGTTTAAGTCTTAAATTCAGGGAATACCTACTAGCATTTTGCTCCAGATTCCACAAAAGTAAATTTGAGTATTGTCATGACAGAAATATATATACAGTTGCTAAGGCCAGAGGTTTACCCACAGGTCCTTCCCTGTATGGCCCAGCCACATGAGAGAAATTTTGAATAAAGCACATCTATATTTCTATATTGGCTTTGATACAATTTGATGGGCCATCTGCTCCCAGACAGCTAGGTCCCCTGGAGCTGTCTCTAAGCATCTGAATGACTCTCTGGTCCACAGCCAGCTGTGTTCACACAGTCAGAGGCTTCAAAACAAGTCCCGGGTCTGAGCTGAAAACAGTGGTATTGTTTAAAAGATACAGCTCTCAAATTTTACCATTTGAAAAGAAATATAGTGAAGGTCATTGCTACCTTCTACACCACGGGAAAAAGATGTTGGTTGGGCATGGGTTCACCGCAAACTCTGTCCCTGAGGTTCAAGCCATCCTCCCACCTCAGCCTCCCAAGTAGCTGGGGCTACAGGCACACACCACCACGCATGGCTAATTTTTTCCATTGTTGGAAAACTGGTAAACTGTTAGTGTCCCATTGAAACCCAATTTTACTGTGAGTAAAATTAACCTCTGAATCCCATAAGGCCCTAAAGAAATTATCCCCAAATCAGTGACTTGTCCTCATTAATGCCTTTGGACTCATTGTTAGGTGCAATCACAAAAGATATAAAAGGCATCTGCATATTATGGAGTTTATCTCTAAAATAGGCAAGATGAGTTCTTTCCTGGATGTATAATTGAGAACTTAAAATACCTTTGGAATGCCAGTTTCCAAACAACTACTCCCAGTGAAGGAGTTGTGAAGTATTGCTGCTTATTCTCTGTTCCTTGAACTATGATGGAGTGCTGTGGATGACTCTCTCGGGAGGAAGGGTACTGAGGAGACAAGGGCATTTCTTAACCACAGAACTACAGAAATAATACCCTTTCCACTCTCCGCACTGTTGAGTGGGATCTTCAAGGCTGGGACACATACACTTTTATGGGAAAGTTCTTTCTGGATTTACACAAGTGTGACAGTATCATGCTCCATCATTAAAAAAGTATCAGCCTCATTCTTTCCTTATTTTGTGTTTTTTATTCATTCATTCATTTATTCTTTCATTCAACACATTGTTGAGTACCTTCTTTCTTTTTTTTGAAATAAAGTCTGGCTCTGTCACTCAGGCTGGAGTGCAGTGGTGCAATCTTGGTTCACTACAACTTTGCCCTCCGGGGCTCAAGCCATTCTCCCACCTCAGCCTCCCAAGTAATTGGGACTACAGGTGCCCGTCACCATGCCCGGCTAATTTTTGTATTTTTTATAAAGACGGGATTTCACCATGTTGGCCAGACTGGTCTTGAACGCCTGGGCTCAAGCGATGCTCCTGCCTTGGCCTCCCAGAGTGCTGAGACTACAGGCATGAGCCACCGTGCCCGGCCTATTTTTGAGTGCTTTCTGTGAACAGCTACTATGCTAGTCATTAGAATTATGAGCAGAGAGAGAAAATCTAGGCACTGCTGCTTACAGTGGTGGGAAGGGTTTCCAGGGTCCTGGTTGAGTTATCATCACACTTTTCCTCAAGAGCCAACTCTAGGCTAGGCATTGTACCAGGTCCTTTATTTATAGATTTATTTATTTTTGGTGTAAAAGATATATTTTCTCCAAAACCCTGTGTCAGCATATTTTTGTGTAGCTATAAAGGAATACCAGAGGGAGAGAGACATCAGTCTGAGGATCCCAGGGACAGAGGTACAACTGCTGTGAGCTTCAGAAGAGCAGCTCAAGGTCACATGAGAGTCAGTAACAGGGCACTTGACTAAGGGTGGTCAGCAGAGAGTTCCATGAGGAAGGTATTTTGAGCTGAGAGCTGAAGGAAGCACGGGAAGAAGAGAGAAGAAAGGCAGATGAAACGTTATATCAGGCAGATAGAACAGCTTGTGCAAAACCCCTGTGACATGGGTATATGGCGGGAAGAGGGCCCAAGTGTTCAAGCAATGGAAGAAGGCCACTGTAGGTGGAAGGCAGGGATGGAGGGGCTTGGGGAAGAGCCACATTCCCATGTCCCTGCGCTTCTCAGCTACTGCAGCCCTGTCATCTTCAGGTTTACAGAGAAATCCAAATGAACAGTAGGAAGCCGGAACCTACCTGTTGACCAGGATTTCACTTCCTGTTTTTAGGTGTATTTCACGTTTTTTGCATCTTGTTTTAAAGAGTGCCAGCAATCCCACTATTGGTATATAGCCAAAAGGCAATACATTTTTATGTCAAAAAGATACCTGCATTCATACGTTTATCACAGCGCTATTCACAGTAGCAAAGATATGGAATCCACCTAAGCGTCTATCAACAGAGGGTTAAATAAAGAGTCCATAAAAAAGAATGAAATTGTGTCTTTTGCAGCAGCATGGATGGAACTGGAGGCTTTTATCCTAACTGAAATAACTCAGAAACAGAAAGCCAAATACCGCATGTTCTCACTTATAAGTGGGAGCTAAACAATGGGTACGCATAGACATAGAGGGGAATAGTAGACGTTGGAGACTAAAAAAGGGTTTTGGGGGGGTGAGGGTTGAAAAATGACGTATTGGGTACAGTGTTCACTATTCAGGCAATGGGCACACAGAAAGTTCAGACTTCACCACTACGTAACATTTGAAATAAGAAATCTGCACTCATACCCCTATAATATAAATACATAGATTAGATAGATAGACGGATAGATAGATAGATAGATAGATAGATAGATAGATAGATAGATAGACAGATAGATAGATCGATCAAGAATCCTAGGAGGCTCATAATTAAATCCAATGTTCATGACTGAATTATCCTTACCCCACCTTTAACCTTCATCTACCTGCCTCCCACATCCCCCACTATGAATAATGTGAGCGATTCATCACATTTAATTCTTTCAGTTGTTTCTTTGGGTTTTTTATTCCCACATTTCTAAATATGCTTATACTGCTAATCATTCATCTCCCAATTTTAAACCTATCCATTTGTGTCCTGTTTTTGCAGATGAAGGCTCAGCCTGTCTCTCATACCTCACTCTCCCTATCACACCAACATGGTTATAGTCACCATTGTTGACATCAGCAGAAACTTTGTGAATATTGTTCACCGCGGAGCCTGCTGTATACTGTGATCATGCATTTTTCTTCACAGTTTTTGGCTTTCCTTGAATTAATACTTTGCTTCATTTCTTTATTTGCTTTATGTATATATTCCTCATATTTCTCCATCAAATCTGAAAAAAAAATTCCTGTATTGAGAGCACATTCCCCGCCACCAGCATTTTGGGAAGAACAGAGTGAGTAAAGGGCATAGCTCAGTCATAGACGTTTCATAATCTTTCTGTTTTTAGGATGGGAGCTCCCTGCCTCTCCACCGTGCCTGGCATCTGGAGCCTCTCTAGGTGAATATATTTAGAGACTAAATCTGCATCTCTGGGGCAGGGTGTCTGGGGAGGCATTTTGAGGGTTCTAGTTGCAGAGTGGTTTCCTCTTATCACCTGCCTTCCATTCTCTTACCAGCTTCCAAAAATCAGTTAACCTTGCTCATCTGCTGATGCATCTTCTCCTGTTCTCTTTGTCCCTTTGGGCTTCTGCCTATTTTATTCTATTTCCTTTATTTTAGTGGCATTTCAAGGGAGGGCAGGGCCAGCCTGCCATGTTGCCTGGCAGTCCCCTGCGGTTTCAGGGTCAGCTGCCCTCTCAGCCCAGTGGCCAGGCCCCGCGTCAGGCCTGAGACTAGCGTGGACTGCGCAGGGATGTGGGGGAGGGGCTTTTGTGTTAACCACCAGTTCCCTTGAACTTCCTGCCTGCCTGCTTTCTGCTTTGCAGCGTTGTGCCTGCACCAAAGCCTGGAGGTGTGTCAGGGAGGCTCGCAGGGGAGGTTCTTGCCCATATGTGCAGGAATGACACTGGCTGATAAGAAACATACTTTTTTATTACTCTTTAAGCAAAACTTTCAATAGTCAAAATCCCCCTCCCCTCGCCTCTCTTTCTCTCTTGTGTTTCTATAATAACTTCATTGGATCTGGGCATCTGGATTATAGGTGTTCATTGAAAACCTCAAAATAACAGGGTCTGTTTCCCTTCTCCTGGGAAGGCCCCATGTGAACTCCACAGCCCGTCTTCTAGGATCCCAGTCCCTCATTCTCTGCTTGATGAAGACCTCGGAGGAGGGATGGTGGAGAAGGGGACTGGGAAGCAGGCAGGCTTTGGCATTCCAAAATGAACGGACATGAAAAGAGAACATCTTGGAAATATCTATTTAGAAAAGGTCAATGAGAAGAAACAAAATAAAATGTAGCTGGGAGCTCGCTTGACCTCTTCGCCTGGTGTGAAGAAGCCTCACCAACTTAGAGAAATTCACATTCTCCCTGGTTACTCAGCATCGGCATTGGAGATGGTGAATAATGCAGTGGAATCCTTCCACGCAGAGGCTGCACTCCTGGCATAGGGTCGGCCATGCCACTAACAGCTGGGAGTGAATCTCTGCAGCCACTGAAAATAGGGATTTGTAATGGAAATGCTGACAGACCCTTAACCATGGCAGTGCTAGCAAGAGCTGCGATAATACAGTAAATAAGGTGAATGGGCTCGGCTTATCTCATTTCACAGCTGAGCTGTGTATTGCCAGATAAATCAAATCAGGGTAAACGGCTTCATCTAATAAACTGGGTCAACATATAATGTATTTGTTCAGGTTCGCGCTTTCATTGATTCTCATTTGATTTAAGAAGAGATATTTCAGCTCATGTTTGAACATTTTTACTATTCATCCTTCCTTCTGGTAAGGAGAGACTGAGAGGCAGGGACACACAGCTGGGATTTTTTTTTTCCTTTAAATTAATTAAGTTTTCTGATTCTTGTAAGTTCTTCTGCTTTTCATCTTTATGCATCAACGTGGGGGAGGGGTAGCAGGACCGCCTGGGGAGAAAGCCAAGAAGAAGCAAGAGAAAGCACTCCGTCTCTTCATCTGCATTTCCCAATAACGTTTTAGTGATGTTTGCTAATGTATCATTCATTAACCATCAGCCACTATAAAAAACATAATCTATCTCGCAAAGTGGACATTATTATCGCATTAAATCATTTCACAATATACCTGAACGGTTCCACATGAGAGGCCTGGTCTGGCCAAGCTCAGACGCCTCCGGGGCAATTCTTCAGCAGTAATGAGATACGAGGTCTCTCTGTGATGAATACGATATTACTCGTGTCAGTGGTTGCGGACTGCACCCAGAATATTTCTTCTCACAGGTTTTTGTTTTTTTTTTTCCTTCCATAGCAGAGGAACTGAGGCAAAGCACTATTAACCCAGTAAATGAAGCTCTAAAGATCACAGAGTGTGTCCATTAGGAGACAAGATGGAGACTAATCCAATTTTTCTTGCAGGAAGGGAAGATGATGCTTTGGTAACATCTGGGGACCGCAGGCCCTGCATTGCAGATGAGGCTCTGTGTTTGGGTCCTCTCCATCCCTCTCCTTTCTATCTCTTCCTTCTCTGCCTTTGTCTAAGGACAATTATTACATTGTCCCCTCCTCTCCCTCAAGCCTCTCTTTCCGAAAACCTCCTTGAAGGTGATTAAAATAATGTCCATGGCTGGAGGAAGAAATGCAAAAGGGTAAAGGGTGGAGGGAGAGAGAAAGAGCCAAAAGGTAAGGCTTCCCACTTCACATTGCTGGGACTATTTCCTGAGGCTTCAGGTCTGTGTTGTAGACGGGCTGGACTTTGCAAAAGGGTGAGTTGGAAGGTGCAGGGACCATTTGCTTTCTGTTCCTGTTAAAATCACGTCAAACAGTCCTGCTTTTTGGGAAATAATCCGTGTTTTTTTCTCTCATAAGGGCCTTCACTTGTTTCTTTTATTTCTCAGAAAACTGTTTGCAGGTATTTGTTTAAAATGTTGATGGATAAGTGCAAGATTCCAGATCCTAGCCATAGGCTAGGATGGGAGGAATATCTTGAAGAGTAAAATAAAAACAGAAACAGAGTGGTGATTTTTTTCCCTAACCTTGTTCTAAACCTTTCTCCCTTTCCTTTTCTTCAACAAACACTTATGTGTCCACTTTATGAGGTACCTTGCACAGGCCACTTATGCTTCATGGTGTCGTTACCTCAGTGAACAAATACAAAACAAATAAAAAGCCACAAACAGAAGAGCCACAAAAGAGCTGCAAGGATGTCCCAGTTAAAATTGGGTGTACAGGCTGGCAACTGTGTCACATGTAACTAAATGTGATGTGTGATTTTTTTTTTTAATGACAACCCTACATCATTCCTTCCCAAGAGAACATCAAAAATATATTCCCCTGGAGAGTAGCCTAGAGAGTCAGAAAATAGATCCTTTTTCCCCACAGGTTTGTTTTCTGCAGTTAATCAATTCAGAAGGATTAGCTTAATTTTCCACACTTAAAAATGCAGGTTGAAACACCCCCTTTGAAAGTCAAATTTATACTATTTCACATTACTCTGATATATTAGCTCAGGTGATGTGGAAAATGTAATTTAGAAAACATTTTGGCTTACTCATGGTCTTTAGAAAGGACAGCATGGTAGGAGTCATGATTTTGTGTCTAAATGGATGTACACTCAACTTCCATTCTCATGCTGAAATGACCTTATAGATTGTATTAGTTTCAGTGAAACTTATTTACATTGAGCGAATGAATCAATGTCTCTCTGAACCCCCCCACCCACTTTCCCTTGTCCTTCCCGTTTCTCTTCCTTTTTTTTTTTCTTTCTCATGTAACAGAAAGACTAGAAACCAGTTGCTGGGAGCATTTTACTGACAATGTCCTCATTTATACCCTACTAAGAAAATATTTGGGCTGGGTGTGGAGGCTCACGCCTGTAATCCCAGCACTTTTGGGAGGCTGAGGTGGGCGGATCATCTGAGGTCAGGGGTTCGAGACCAGCCTGGCCAATGTGGTGAAACCCCATCTCTACTAAAAATAAACAATAAAAAAAAATTAGCTGGGCGTGGTGGCAGGCACCTGTAATCCCAGCTACTCAGGAGGCTGAGGCAGGAGAATCACTTGAATCCAGGAGGCGGAGGTTGCAGTGAGCCGAGATTTTGCCACTGTACTCCAGCCTGGGCGACAGAGTAAGACTCCATGCCCCCCCCCCCCCCAAAAAAAAAGAGAAAATATTTGTTGCCATGGTTTTTAAAAAAGAATATCTAACGTCTTTTTATTGATTTGACTTTTCTTCAATTTATAAGGCTCACGTGAGTTTTTGTTTAAATTAAATGATCCAGATAATGTTAACAAAATCTAGAACTTTTAAAAGGTCATATATTTAGCAGAGCATTATTCTGGCCACTGTTAAGAGGGCTATTTCATTTCATTATGTAGTATTTCATTAAGGTACGTTTCTTTTTAACTAGAGAGAAACCTATGGCCCACATCATTAGCTCAGTTCTCATGGTTTTTTAAAAAAATAATCCTCTTTTTCTTTTTGAAACTTTTGCTCCAATGTGGTTATTCCTTCTAGACTACTTAATAATGATTTTTCCCCATTTATTTGTCCAAAAAATGTTTATTGATACTGATCAGAGTATTTCTAGCTCTTAGTATTTGTTGTAGTCTCTATAGCTCCCACCAAAGTGCTGGGCACTGAGGAGGTGCTAATAAAATGTGTTGAATTGAATGATCTGTAATTGTCTTCTAGTTTGTTTTCTAGGTTCTACCTTCACCTGGTTCAGGAACGTTTTAGCTAGAGCAGCTCAAGGCACTTTATTTATTTAGAGACAGAGTCTCGCTGCGACGCCCAGGTTGGAGTGCATGGCGCAATCTTGGCTCACTGCAGGCTCCGCCTCCCGGGTTCCAGCGATTCTCCTGCCTCAGCCTCCCGAGTAGCTGGGGTTACAGTTATGTGCCACCACGCCGGGCTAATTTTTGTATTTTTAGTAGAGACAGGGTTTCCCCATATTGGCCAGGCTGGTCTTGAACTCCTGACCTAAGGTGATCTGCCCGCCTCGGGCTCCCAAAGTGCTGGGATTACAGGTGTTAGCCACTGCGCCTAGCCAAGGCACTTTTATTTAAATTCTTCTGACTGCTGTTCATGGCTTTCCCTAATCTGCCTGAAGATATATGACATTGCATATCTCAAGTAAGACAGTTATTCCATCCCGAAATACAGCCCATTCCTTGTTATCACTGTGAGAGGTGACAACGTGATAGCAGCACTCGCTCGCTCTGGGCGCCTCCTCCGCTTCGGCGTCCTCTCTGGCCGCGCTCGAGGAGCCCTTCAGCCCTCTGCTGCACTATGAAGGCCCCTCTCTGGGGCTGGCAGAGGCCCAGCCGGCTCCCTCTGTTCGCGGGGAAGTGTGAAGAAGACAGGCACGGGGCGTGGGGTGGTGTGTGCCGGGGCTGCGCGCCCGGCGCTCGAGGGCGGGCGTGGATTCTAGGTGAGCAGCGGTTCGGCAAGCCCGGCACTCGGCGCGGCCGGCAGGCGCCTGCTGGGCTTGATCGGAGGCTGAATCCCGTGCGTGGGCCGCCGTTCCCTCTTCCCGGGATCATTTGTCCACGAGAGCAGGTCTCGATCTCTTTCTCGCTTCCTCTTTTCCTCTTGATTGTCTGGGACGAGCTCCCTCTGGGCTGCCAAAGTGCCCGGGCTAGGTGCCTAAAAGTCCAGCCGAGCATGCCAATGAGACGTGAAGCCGGCTGGGCTTCTGGGACTGGTAGGGACTTGGAGAACTTTTCTATCTAACTAAAGGATTGTAAACGCACCAATCAGCACTCTGTGTCTAGCTAAAGGTTTGTAAACACACCAATCAGCGCTCTGTGTCTAGCTAATCGGGTAGAGGACTTAAGAGAACTTTTGTGTCTAGCTAAGGGTTGTAAACGCACCAATCAGTACTCTGTGTCTAGCTAAAGGTTTGTAAATGCACCAATCAGCACTCTGTCAAAACGGACCAATCAGTATTCTGTAAAATGGACCAATCAACTCTCTGTAAAATGGACCAATCAGTAGGATGTGGGTGGGGCCAAAGAAGGGAATAAAAGCAGGTTACCTGGGCCTGCAGTGGTTATCTGGTCAGGTCAGTTTATAAGTTGTGGGGGGTGTGTGGTTTTTTTTTTTTGTTTTTTTGTTTTGTTTGAAGCTCTTAACAATTAATGTTGCTGCTTAGTGTTTGGGTCTGTGCTGCTGTATGTATGTGAGCTGTAATACTCACTGTGAAGGTCTTCAACTTCACTCCTGAAGTCAGTGAGATCACGAGCCCACCAGAAGGAAGAAACTCCACACACTTCTGAACAGCTGAAGGAACGAACTCCGGACACACCACCTTGTAGAACTGTGACACTCATGGTGAGACTTTGCAGTTTCCGTGAGACCATAGAACTCACCAATTCTGGACCCAACTGCTATCTGTACGTTGTGCAGAAGCTGCACCTGGTGCCTGAAGCCGGTCTCCCTGGAGGTGCTATTTTTCAAATCTTTAACTACTTATTCAAGGCCGTATGCAAGCCGTTTTCTGGCCCTTCCAAAATTCCTCTTTGATAACTGCAGTCCACGTTGACTTTTTTACATTCACTTGTACTTTATAAAACTTTCATTGTACGTAAGGATACTTAACACGACATCCACCCTGTTAACAAAATTTTTAGGAGTCCAATACAGTATTAATTCTGGGTAGAATGTTGTGCAGCAGGTCTCTGCAGCCTACTCATTCTGCTTGCCTAAAACTTGAGAACTGTGGTTAGCAGCTACCTGTTTACTACTCCTCTCTGTGCCTGGCTGGAATTATGCAGTATTTGTCCCTCTGCAGCTGGATTATTTATTATAGCCTCACAGCTTCAATGTCATTAACTAGTCATCAGGGAACTGTAAACCAAAACCACGATGAGCTATCCACACACACCTGTCAGAATGGCTATTAAAACAAAACCTGAAACAAAAGACAAGTGTTGGCCAGATTGTGGAGAAGTTGGGAGCCTGTACACAGTTGGTAGAAATGCGAAATGATTCAGCCACTATGGAAAACAATACAAAGGATCCTTGAAAAATGAGAACTAGAACTACCATATGACCCAGCAGTCCCACTTCTGGGTATTTATCCAGAAGAATTGAAATCAGAATCTCGCAGAGATATCAGTACTCCCAGGTTCATTGCAACATTATTCACAATAGCCAAGATGTGGAAAGAACTGAAATGCCTACTGGCAGATGAATGGATACAGAAAATGTGATATATATATATACATATATATATATATATGTATATGTATATATACAATGAATTATTTTTCAGCCTTAAAAAGGATATTCTGTCATGTGTGGCAAGATGGATAAACCTGGAGGACATTACGCTCCAGTGAAACGGGTAAGTATTGCTAATCCTTCTTCCACGTAAGTAAGCTAAAACTCAGATGTCATATTATCTGCCCAAGGTTTTAGAGGTAACATAAGGAAGTGGAGAAGTTGGAATTCAAACCGGTCTGAAATGTTGCTGCCGTACACAAGGTCATCTAGATTTCTGTCGATTCATTTGCATTTTCTCCATGGACTATCATGTCATCGGCTAACAAAGATAGTTTCATTTGTTTCTTTCAAATCAGTATACCTTTTATTCAATTTTCTTATTTCCAAATCGTTATACTTTTTATTCTATTTTCTTATTTCCAAATCGATATACATTTTATTCCATTTTCTTGTTTTGTTGCATTAGCTAGAACTTCTAGTGTTGAAAGGGAGTGGTGAGAATGGGTATGCTTGTCTCATTCCTGACCTTAGTGGGAAAACTTCTAATTTTTCCCCGTTAAGGATGATGTTCGCTGTCGGAGTTTTGTAGATTTTTTTTTTTTATCAAAGTAAAGAAGTTTCCCTCTATTTCTAGTTTGCTGGGAATTTTATTACAAGAGTGTTAGGCTTAGTCAAATGGTTTCTCTGCATAGATTGATATAATTATATGGTTTTTCTTCTTTAGCTCGTCGATGTGATGGATTATGTTAACTGATTTTTGAATGTTGAACCAGCCTTGCACACCTAGGGTAAATCCTACTTGGTCATGGTGATCTATTTCCTTTTTAATTTTCTCTCCTCTACTTAGAATAGAATTTTTACTGCTAAGGTATGAGTGTGTGTGTGTAAGGGAGTTCCATGCCTTAACCCTAACATGGTGGTATCATTCTATACCTGGTAAACTTGAGTACTCAGTACTGTTGTCACTAGCATATACTACAGCTCAGTGAGCTTTAGTTTTACTCTGAAGTGCCTTTGAGGACTTCATAGGAGCAGTAAGAATGCTTAGGACGAAAAATAAAATATTGTATGACCATTCAGGGTTGCTTCCTTAGTGACTTCCCAACTTTCTTCCTCTCTGTACTGTTTAGTTGTTTGCTGCCCTCTCTCCATGTGACCCAGCTCCTGACCAGTTGAACCAATCAGAATAGTCCAAATTCTCATGCCATCCACTCATTTAGGGATGGAAACGTGACCCAGCTCAGGATGGTGAAATGTGTGAGGGCGGTTCTGCTCAACTACTATCTGTGCACTTGGGAAAGGATTCCTTGGTTTTTAGAAGGAGCAAAAGAAAAAGATGGTTTATTCTGGAGTGTCATTTCTGGATGGCTGCCACTGTGTGGCCACCAGGCAACCATAAGGGGAGTTGGGTTAGGACAATGCCAGTACACCCAACGTGGCGGAGTTGAGAGATGGAAGAAACCCAGGTCCTTGGGGGCATTGTGGAATTGCCGAAGTTTACTAACCTTGAAGCTGCCTTAACTCTTAGTCTTAATTTTCTAAAGCAGAAATCTGAGGATTCCTGCAATGTTGGTAGGTACTTGCATTTATGTTGAGAAATTTTTCTGAGTGTGGCCCAAGAACAGCCTATGTCAGAATATTTCAGAATGCCTGCTAGAAAGCTGGCTTTTCTTCATATCTTCCATATTATAGGAAGGAATATCCATGGCGGGGCCTAGGAATCACCATTTTAACAATTCCTCTATTCTTCTGTTCACTCAAGATTCAGAATCTGTATTTTCAGATACCTGTTGCAGGGACTCAGTTCATCACCCCCATGGAGAACAGCCTTGCAATGTATTATATTTTCCTATGTTGATGCCTAATTCTTACAGGGCATCTCACCATTCTAAGATAACACCACCCTAATGAGACATGAGCCTAAAGTCCAGAAATGTGAAACAGATTAGAAGCGAGAAAAAGATCAGAAATATTTATTAGGATAATTGGAAGAAGAAATGGTGAAACTCAACAGGATAAAAATATGTTAGTGAGACAATGGGTCTTCTCCAACATATATTCAGAGGCAGATGGTAAAGTGGGAAGCTAACCCGTTAAGAAATAATTATAATAGGTTGTTGGAGACTAGGGAAAAGAAAGTAAAAGATTTATTAAATAGCTTGTACTCCATTTATGCACAAAGGTGGCCAATCATAGATTATATGTGCATGTGAGTGTGTATTAATGAGAGGGAGCAAGCCTTGGAGAAGGCAGCAGAGCTTAAAGATTGCCTGTGGAAGGCATGAATGCATCAAATGGTCATCTTATGAGCTGAAAGAGTGATGTCCTCACTTTCAGCATCTCACTGGCCATCAAGTACAGTTTGACTCCTATGTTGTTAAATGACAGTTGTAAAAATGATAGCTCTGTAATGTCTGATAATTAAAATACTTCTTTTCTGGCAAAGGCTATTTAGATTTGCATTTGTTGAAACCTACAAATACTCATGCATGTGCGTGCACACACACACACACACACACACATCTCTCTAGAATAAACCATTTAAACACCTTTACATCCTTTTCCCAAGCCTTCAATAACTTCCAATTACTGAAGCCATAAATGCCCTATTTCACAAAATAATACTCTTGAGGCCGGCACATTTGCCTCACTTCCTACCTGGGAAAGGCTAAGTCTCTTGTTAGAATAGTAATTTAGATTATATTTAGTTTGGAACTTCATTCCCATGGCCCTGGAGAGCAGATATTGGTGTTTTCATACACTCATGGGTGGGTCTTTTCTCTTAAATATTGAAGGTTGCGGAGCTGATCTCTAGCGCACTGTTAGGGAGAGAATTCTTGAAATTTCACACAGGAACTACTCACCATCTTCCTGCTATCAAATATATGAATATGCCTACATCTTTATCAACCATGTCCTCCTTCTCACTTGTTAAAATAGAAATTCTATCTGTTCTTTAAATCCAGTCTCTTCCTGGGTGCTTACGATTCGATTTGCCTCTATTTTCCAGGAATTTGACAGAGCCCCTTCTCTCTATTTTGTATTTGACCCCTCCTTTCAATTTTTCTTTTTTATTTATTACTTATCAATTTTTTTTTTGAGATGGAGTCTCGCTCTGTTGCCCAGGCTGGAGTGCAATGGTGCAATCTCAGCTCACTGGAACCTCTGCCTCCTGGGTTCAAGCAATTCTCCCGCCGCAGCCTCCCGAGTTGCTGGGATTACAGCCACCCGCCATCATGTCTGGCTAATTTTTGTATTTTTGTAGAGCTGGGGTTTCACCATGTTGGCCAGGCTGGTCTTGATCTCTTGACCTCAGGTGATCCACCCGCCTCAGCCTCCCAAAGTGTTGGGATTACAGTTGTGAGCTACCACGCCAAGCCTCAATTTTTCTTTTTTTAATAGACTTTATTTTTTAGAGCAGTTTTAAGGTCACAGAAAATTTGAATGGAAGCCACAGAGAATTTTTATGAACCCTGTTCCCCCACACATGGACAGCATCCCCCATTATCACCATCTTCCACCAGAATGGCACATTTGTTACAATTGATGAACTGATGTTGACACATCATGATCACCCAAAGTCCATAGTTTACAGTAAGGTCCACTCTTGGTGTTGGACATTCCATGGATTTGGACAAATGTATAGTTACATGTATCCACCACTATAGTATCATACAGAGTAGTTTCACTGCCCCCCAAATCTTCTTTGCTCTACATATTCATCCCTCCCTTCCCCAACCCCTGGAAATCACTGATCTTTTACTATCTCCATAGTTTTTCCTTTTGCAGAATGGCCTGTAATTGGAATTATACAATAGCCTTTACAGATTGGTTTCTTTCACTTAGTAGTATGCATTTAAGTTTCCTCCAAGCTTTTTCTTGGCTTAATAGAGCATTTCCTTTTAGCAATGAATAACATTTCATTGTCTGGGTAGAACACAGTTTATCCATTCACCTACTGATGGACATCATGGTTGCTTTCAAGTTTTGGAAATTGTGAATGAAGTTACTATAAACATTTGTGTGTAGATTTCTGTGTGTACAAAAGTTTTAACTCATTTGGGTAAATACTAATGAGTGCAATGGCTGGATTGTGTAATAAGATTATATTTAGTTTTGTATCAAACTGCCAGTGTTTCCAAAAGACTGTACCACTTTGTATTCCTATCAGGAATGAATGAGAGTTCCTGTTCCTCCACATCTTTGCCCGTGTTTGGTGTTGTCAGTGTTCTGGGTTTTGGCCATGCTCATGGGTGTGTAGTGGGATCTCAGTGTTGTTTTAATGTGTACTCTCTAATGACATGATGTGGAGCATCTCTTCATATGCTTATATTTATCTGTATATCTTCTCTGGTAAGCTATCTGTTCAGATCTTTAGCCTACTTTTTAATTGGGCTATGTATTTTCTCATTGTTGAGTTTTAAGAGTACTTCGTCTATTTTGGAAAACAGTCCTTTATCATATGCCTTCTGCAAATATTTTCTCCAAGTCTGTGGCTCATCTCTCATTCTCTTGACAGTGTCTCTTGCAGATAACTTTTTAATTTTAATGAAGTCCAGTTTATCAATTATTTCTTTCATGGATTGTGCGCTTGGTATTGTATCTAAAATGTTATTGTCATACTGAAGGTCATCTAAATTTTCCCCTGTGTTATCTTCTAGAAGTTTTATACTTTTGCATTTTACACTTAAGTCTATGATACATTTTGAGTAAATTTTTGTGAGAGGTCTGAAGTCTGTGTCTAGATTTTTTTTTGTTTGTTATGTGGCTGTTGAGAGTTGTCCTAGCAACATTTGTTGCAAAGACTTTATTTTCTTGTCTTTGCTCCTTTGTCAAAGATCCATTGACTATCTATCTATCTATCTATCTATCTATCTATCTATCTATCTATCTATCTATCTATCTGGGTCTGTTTTAGGCTTTGTGTTCTGTTCCATTGATCTGTTTGTCCAGGCTTATGCCAACGTCTTGATTACTACAGCTTTATGATAAGTGTTGAAGTCAGGCAGTGTCAGTTCTCTGACTGTTCTTTACTATCGTGTTGGCTATTCTGGGTCTTTTGCCTCTCCATATAAATTTTAGAATTAGTTTGTCAATTCTCCTGTCAATTTTTATTTTTCTCTTTCATATTTAAAATCTGCTTAAGATTCTTCATTCAAAAACAAGACTAAGCATACAACAACAAACCCCAAAGCAGCCCTCTCAACCTCCCTTCCAATTTCTGCTCTCTCTCCTTTCTTGTCAGGTTTTACCCTCATCAATTTGACCAAAACAGTTCTTGAGGATTTCATTAGTGACTCTTATGTAGCAAAATCAGCTGATATTTTAGAGCTCCCTTGATTTGGCTTCTGAGCTGCGTTCATCACTGTTGACCTTTGCC
Organism: Homo sapiens; assembly: GCF_000001405.40. Classification (NCBI taxonomy): domain Eukaryota; kingdom Metazoa; phylum Chordata; class Mammalia; order Primates; family Hominidae; genus Homo; species Homo sapiens. The sequence continues at coordinate 8,289,782 of NC_000006.12, forward strand.
TCTCCTTCGCTGTTTTCGGCAGCCGTGCCTTCCTCAGCCTGGATATCCGAGGTTGCAGTCCTCAGAGCTCCATCCTGGACTTTCTGATGTTCTTCCTGTCTTCGCTTCCTGAGTGGTTCTGACCATGCTTCAGTCACTTCCCTATCACATCCTACTGTTGACTACCAATGTTTACAGATATCCCAGGTGAATTCCTGTGGAGTCTTTACCACAGTTTATGATTATAGATGTAGTCATTTATTTATTTGCCTCCCTAGACTGTTAGTGATATGAGACCAAGGTCTGGGTCCATCTTTGCTCCACAGTGTCCCTAGAGCTTAGAACTTAGTTGACACATCTTAGTTACTCTTTGAATATTGTTGAATGAAGGACCAGAGAGAGGAAACTTGGCTATCATACTGTCTGTCCATAAGTGCTTCTGAGGTGTCTCTAGTGAGACTAGTCATTTAGATTATAATTAAGTTGTTCTCACTGTCAGTGTCCTCACTTATCACTTTCTAAGCTGATCAGTAGCTTGTTGTTGTCAAGTTCTTTGGCTTCTTTGCTCTTACCTTTCTGAGATTGACATGGCCTAAGTATATTTTCTCTTTGGCCCACCCCTTTTCCCCCAAGATACAGTTGTTGCCTATTTTGGAGGATCTCTTGTTTCTTTGTTGATCTCTCTCTCTTTTGTACAATAGCTCAAGGAAGAATTTGGAGCAATGTTTTTCTCTCTCTAAACATACCTAGAGGGTTGAGATGCCACTAGGTTACATGGTGAAATCAGCCACTGCTTGACATACAAGGATTGGAAATTTACATTTCTGACATGGATCTCCCATTTTTTTGCAGTATGATTTTGGTATCTTGCATGGATTTAAAACTTTATTTTGTTCTAAATCTAAATACTATAATAGTAGATACCTACCTACATGTATGTAAAATACTCGAATAAAATAAAACAAAAATATGCTTCTATGTGGATTCATTATTCTTTTCCAAATTTCCTCTATGTTTCCCTGGTCTTCAGGACTCAAGTCTGATGCCAGTCTACCCCTTTTCTATCTTTCTATCATTTCTGTCTATCTTGACCTGGCTAGCAGGCCATGCTGCTCTGGTATCTACTGAACTCATCAGCAAAAACCATTGCCAACACCTTTTTGCCTTGCAGCTCATATTCTGAACTCTGCCATCTCAACATTTTTGCCTTCTATTTCTAGCCATTTCCAGCTTGTAGGTTCTGCAGCTGTCTCACTTTAAAAAATGTTTTATTGACATACAATTAACACAATAATAAACTATGCATATTTAAAGGGTATAATTTGATGAGTTTTTACCTATATACATCTATACCCATGAAACCAGCATCATGATCAGTATAGTGAACATGTGCATCAGCCCAAAGTTTTCTCATGTCCCTTCATAATCCCCTGTTGTCCTTCCCCAGATCCCAAATCCACAAAACCACCAATCTAATTTCTGCCACTATCAACTAGTTAGCATATTTTAGACTTTTTATAAATAGAATCATACAGTGTCTATTCAGTTTCATCTGGCATCTCATAATTATTTTGAGATTCATTCATATTGTGCTTTATCACTTCCCTTGTGAATGGAAATTTGGATTGTCTTGTTTTGGACTGTCTTGTTTTGGCCTATGAAAAATAAAACTATTATGAACGTTGGCACACAAATATTTGTATGGGTGTATATTTCTTTTGAATAAATATTCAGGAGTGCAATGGCTGGATCATATGCTAGAGAAATGCTTCACTTTTTCAAGAAGCTGCTAAAGTTTTTTTCCAAAATGGTTGCACTATATTATATTTCCACCCGCAATGTTTGAGAGTTCCAGTTCCCCCATATTCTCCCCAAAACTTGCTATTGTCAGTCTTTTTAATTTTAATAATTCTCATAGGTAAATAGTTGTATCTCATTATAGCTTTAATTTGTATCACCTTGAGTTTTAGGAGTTCTTTATATGTTCTGGATACAAATGTTTATCAGACATGTGCTCTGCAAAGATTTTCACCCAGTCCGTAGTTCGTTTTTTCATTCTTTTAGCTGTATCTTTTGATGGGCAGACATTTTTCATTTTGATTAAGTCCAACTTATCAATTTTTTAATGGATAGTGCATGTGGTGTCATATCTAAGAAATTTTTTGCATAATCCAAGATCAAAAAAATTTTCTCTCATGTTTTCTTCTAAAAGTTTTATTCTTTTAGATTTTACATTTAGGTCTATAATCTTTGAGTTAATCTTGTATATAGTGTGAGGTATGAACCAAAGTTCATTTTTAGGGGGAGACAGGTTTCTTCTTATTTTATAGTTTCATGCTTATACCTTAGGCTTGATACTTGGGACCCCTCCTTGATGGTTAATAGTTACACTGATTACAGCTGGTTACACACTGGTTATGCACTGATTACAGCTGCTCTGGCCAATACTTTGCTGAGTAGAGCTTAGCCTTAGGACCAAACTTCATGATGATGGTTGGGGCCAGTCTGTGGCTTGGTTAGCTTTGGCCCCATGGCCAGGGTCCACATGGAGCCCTTTCTTTGAGTCTAACTGATCGTTGTTGTTTTCTTTTTTTTATTTGCTGTGTATCCCTCTTGATCTAACCTTTTCTTCTTTAAGTGCTCATATCACATCTCTAGATTAATTACAGCAAGGACGTAGCATTTATACCTCCTCTCTTCTATCTAATGTGTGCCTCACTGAGAGCCACCTCTATAGTCACTCCTAGATTCTCATCTCAAATACCAAACCAAATTCATTTAGGTCATTCAGTTCATTGATCCAGTGTTTGCTGAGTTTTACCACATGCCATGCAAACTGCAACAAAGGCAGGCTCCATCCCTGCTGTCATGCACCTTATAGCCCAGTGGTGGATACAGAGAAATAAATAGGCTAATATGGAATGGTGAAATTAGTGCTAAAATGGTGGGAATTATAGGGGCTTCCATTAGTCAAGTCTCCTCTTTTGAATTGTCCCCACCTTTGATTACAACTTGGTTGCTTGTTCTTAAGGAGAGCATCTATCCATGGTTTCCTTCTTTGCCTGATCATCATCTAATGAATTTGGACACTTCCAAAGAGCAAAATGCCATTTGCATTCATACAAATTCTGCAAGAGGTAAAAAATTTGGTTCTGAATTATCTAGTTAATTGTCACTGCCATCTGATTTTTGGCTGTGGGCAAGTAGCCTTACCTGTGAACTGAAACTTGTATAATTCCTGTAGGAATTCTTTTACTTTTGCCTCTGAATGCTTTTCTAATGAACTGCATGTAAAATTCCACCTTTCTTAGAATTTATAAGACTGTATGTGAAATCTTGCTCTGTCATTTGCTGTGTGACCCACCCCTATTTTTTTGTGCCTCAGTTTTTTATGTATAAATTGAGAGTTTCAAGTTTTGATTCTAAAATGCTAGATGCTTCACTTTAAAAATTACTTAAAGCTTACCTCCCTTATTCAGACCACCTCCCCTCCATCTCTGGCCACTCCAATAATCCAGTAGCCACTTTATATGTGAACATAATTATATATAGCCATCTAGCTATCTACAAGTATTTCTACTTCAGATATTTTGCTGTCTGGTTATACGAAAATGTTGCTCTACATTTTCCCAAAGACTGTAAAAATATGCAGTCAGTAGTTTGTTCTTTTCAATTTGATGTATTTCCATAACCTTGGCATGTAATATATGAAAAAGATATTGACCAAGTGATTTTGTTCTAATAGCTTCATGTATATATAAAAGAATTCCTCAGTAGTCCAACAGATTTGGGATTTCAGATAACCAGTTTACACTTTTGGCCCACGTAATTGCTTTTTCATTGGACATGAAGATTGAGGGCCTGAACTGTCCAGCTGAATCAGTTCTCGCTTCAGTTTTGCTTGTGTGGAGCCTCACCTCTGAGCTCCTACTTGGCTAATTCCGGCGAAGTCCCACTGGGAGCATGGCAAGAAGAGAGGAGTGATGCAAACAGGCCTGAGAGCTTGAGTGCTGCTGGTGACTGCGCCATTACCCAGAAAGTGCAGGTTAATGTGGAGGAAGGGAGGAAACTGTGGGAGGCAGCAAAGCAAACCCTACAACACCCATTAGAAAGAACAGTCATGCAGCATTGAGATCAGGAAAGAAGGGTCAAGGGTCAAAAAATCAGAGAAACTACCCCCATTCCCTAACCAAGGAATGCATGCGAGAGACAGGAATCAAAGAAACAGCAATAGAATGAATACTGAATTAATTCACATGGATTTGGCTCTCACAATGTGGCCCCGAGTCACCTGATGGGTCTCTAAATCCTTGCAGGACAAACAACCCGTGCTGGTGGGAAGGATGTTATCAAGTGGCAGCAAATAGGAGGCATGCTGCACTGCTCCTAGCAAGTGCTGTGTCAGCTGTATGTAAACTATCAATTTGGCATATGCAAATAACTCCATCATAGAATAGAATATTAAGTGAGATCAGAAAGCCCAGAGAGAATTACGTGCTAATTCAGAGAAGGAAGAATTCAGTGTCCATTCAAGTGTGAATGTATATGTTGAATCCAGAAAGGCTTTATGAAGACGTGAAATTTGAAGTCAGCCTTGTAGAACTGGAAAAATTTTGTCAAGCCAATACTGTAGGAGTAAGGCAGAAATAGTAATAGAAAATGGAAAAGAAGTTAGAAAATGAGAGAGTGCTTAGAGAACATCCGTAGTTTAGTTTGGCCAAGGGATAGATAGGATATGGGGGCAAAAAGAAATAAGATTTTAATGGTAGGTTGAGGACAACTCATGAGGACTCCTATATGCTACCCATGACTTTTCTTTTTCTTTTTCTTTTTTATTTTTTGAGATGGGTTCTCACTTTAAAGTCCAGACTGGAGTGCAGTGGTGTGATATCTGCTCACTGCAGCCTCAACCTCTGAGGCTCAGGTGATTTCTTCTACCTCAGCCTCCTGAGTAACTGGGACTACAGGTGAATAAATGCTACCACACTGAGGTAACTTTTTATATTTTTTTGCAGAGATGGGTTTTCGCCATGTTGCCCAGGATGGTCTCAAACTCCTGGGCTCAAGTGATCCGCCCACCTCGGCTCTCAAAGTACTGGGATTACAGGCATGAGCCATTGTACCCTGTCACTACTCATGACTTTGTTTCTCCATTTGTTCCCACTTTCTCAAAGGTATTTCACTGCTCGCCTCTACCTGGGGCCTCAGTCCAGAGCCAATCTGGGGGGAACATGTGAAAGCCTTCCTTATCCATTTGGGTTTGGATGTACATCATGTTCCCATTCTTAGAGTCCAGAAATCCAGCCTCGCTAGACTCCAAAATGACTATGCTGTTTATCCCTAAGCCTCCTTGGCCGCCATATAGCTCAGAGCCTGCATGCACCGCTAATGCACAGCCAGCCCCTACGTCACAGAACTGCTTATGTTCTCAAGTCCCCATGTTCACCAAAGGGAGCGTCTGCATGCTTCCTTTTCCATACTCTGCCCACTTGCTGAGCCTAGTAGCACAATGCCCCTCTAGAAATGGGTCCTAATCCATGTAAGCTGCATCCTGGAATTCTGCATAGTTCTCAAGAGGGCTCTCACCCCTTCTCCCTAGACTGGAACTTACCACCTGTAGACTAAGAGTTCCCGCATCGGTGTAGCTTCTTAGCTGGATTTGTTCCTGCTTTGTGCTGAATTGCTAATTTGATGTTTTGATATTATCATTTACAGAATTAGGAATAAAAATCTTTATACCAGGTCTCAGACATTGGACCTACACATACTGGTAGCCTCTTAGTTCATCAATGCTCTTGGCCACCTTCTACTCTAAAGAGCAGATCTCTGTTCAGTGTTGGCCTCTTATACTTCCCACCAGTTCGTCAGGCTTAGTGGCAAAGCCTACCTGAGACGCTGCACCAAGTGATTTCTCATTGTCTACTAACTTATTGCACATAAATAAGGTTTACTCACATGGGGTTTATGTTCCATGAGTAACTAACCTTCCATTTTCCACCATTTTTATATAGGAAAAATCAACTTCAGGAACAAACATGGCATTCAAGACTATATCATATAGAATTTGTTAGAGGCACAAAGCAGAACTTGACTCTGGGAAATTTAAATATAGGGCACATATTGAAAGGATGTCAGAAGGTTACAATAATAATGAGCACGCTGGAGAAATAGGATTGAGTGTGGGAAGGGTAAGGTAACACCAAAAGGTTAGGGTTAACTAAAACTACAAGGCTGGACCTGTGGCAGGAACTTGAACTCGTAGTTGGGTTCCTCCACTGGTATTGGTATGACTTCCATTTCTTTTGACCTTGTGTTAGTCTCTGAAGATTCAAAATTAAAAGAGTATCCACTGCTTAACTATCCCCCAGTATGATGTGTCTGCCCTTGTAATAGTCTCTGAGGATTCAAATTTACAAATGAGTATCCACCACTTAACTATCCCCCATTATGAGGTGTCTGACAGGAGACTTGCGTAGTCAGCTTCCACAGTGGGAGGCGAGCATCTGTCATACCAGACCCCTATTAACTCCAATAGAGATGGCACCAGGTTCAGGAGACAGAAGAGAACTAGAGTCAGCAAACAAGACCTAAGTGTTCACTAGCCAGAAACTTACATACAAAGTGGGCCAGTGGCAGCAGGCTGGACAGAACTGCAACCGCTTGTGCAAAGCATGCAGTTCATACAGCATCTTCACTTAGCACCCTCCCCCTAACAATCTCCATCAAGCAACCTTCATTTAACCCAAGACAAAGGGCCTTGATACCCTGTATGGCCCACATTCTATGATACGGGCTGGGGGCTCAGGTGCTCCTCACAGACAAGGAATGGATCTCCATGTTGCCCACTCCTGGATCCCTTAGCTTGGAACCCCAAACACACATTCAGGTGTGAGTGCCACACAGGGTAATCCTTAGGGTATGCTCAAGTCAAATTACTGCTCTCAGGCGCATCTACCACACAACATCCACAGTTATTGTCCCACGAAGACCCCACACAATGCGGAAGAAGTGATTTCCTAAACTGAAACAAAGACATTATTAGGAAGGGGAAATGGGTATTGTGTTGACAAAAATATATATCTTCAAATATCCTTTCTCTAGTTCTTTTCTATTACTGCTTCAGACCTCATACTTTTTAAGTCTTGAAAAGACATTTTGTGAATTGGTTGACAAAAACAGTCACTAAAAAATGTTTTCTGACTCTGTCCCCACCTTCCCTACACAAACTCCAAATGCCCACGGTCCTCCCAAATGGCTCTGGGAGGGCCCCAGTGGCGTTCAACGTGTGCTCTGAAAGCTGGCTTTGTACCTCAGGGGCTTCGTCTTTGCTTTTTCCTCATGTTTTAAAGGTCTTTGATTGTGTCTTGGTAGATACTAGCATCAGAAGTGGAAGCTCTGATGTCAGCGTTATTAATTCTACACCCTAGTGATGGCTGCTGTCAGAGCCACCTGTGCTGTGACTATGGCGGTCACCAGTGCTGTCACCCCTATTGTCACCAATGGTGCCTCTGGTGCCCAGTGACCCACAAAGATACAGACAAATGTTTCCTTTATTATTTAATTCCTTTTCCATTGCTTCCCTTCTTTATATATCTTGTGCCTCTCAGAATCCTCTTTCTCCTCTGAAGATGGGTCAACCCATTGTCTTTGAAAGAAATTTCTGGGCCTTTCAACTGTTTTTTATGTTGGGTTACTTACCAAGGAACATCTACTACATCTACTCTATGTAATTCCCCAAACTGGCCATGCAATTCCCTTCCTTTGTCCTTTGTCTTTCTCTTCTCTTTTCCCAGAATATCATTCCCAAACTGTATTCACCTGCAGAGCTCTGATTAATCCTTCAATCTCATCTAACCCAGACTGGAATGATTAATTGCAGTCAATCCACATTCTGTCTCATAGCCCTCAGGGCAGTATATTGAAATGATCAGTTTATATTTCTGTCTCCCCACCTAAACTCTGAGCTCCTTGAGGGCAGGACCTGGGTTTATTTATTTCTCTCTCTCTCTCTCTCTCTCTTTCTCTCACATATCTTGCTGTCTGGCACATAAAGACCTTGGATACTCTTATTCAGTCATTTAGTACTGAAATTTAAGATTTAAAAAATCTGTCAAAACACCTAAGCAGCTCAGTTCCAGAGGAGTGTCTGTAGGGAGATAATAAATACCATATGCTTTCCCTCTGTGGTGAGGAGGATGGCAGGAGGAGGGTTGTTTAAAGCTGATGTGTTTCAACCCATTTTTAACAGCACGTCATAGGAGCCACCTGTTTCTGTGCCCCCCTCTTCCCCCCAACTCCTTTTTTTTTTAAAGTCGAAGTCTCCCTCTGTCACACAGGCTAGAGTGCAATTTTGGCTCACCGCAGCCCCCGCCTCCTGGGTTGAAGTGATTCTCCTGCCTCAGCCTCCTGAGTAGCAGGGATTACATGTGCACGCCACCACGCCTGGCTAATTTTTGTATTTTTAATAGACATGGGGTTTCACCATGTTGGCCAGGCTGGTCTCGAACTCCTGACCTCAGGTGATCTGCCCACCTTGGCCTCTCAAAGTGTTGGGATTACGGGCGTGAGCCACTGTGCCTAGATCCCCCCAATTGCTAATCCCTGCCTAGTCTCCCAGCTGGCCTCGACACCCTCTGAAAACACCATGTGTTTGGAAACCACTCAAAATAACCATAACCAATGGATGACTATGGTAGCAACAAAATACTAGTTTTTTTCCCTCCATATATCAAATAAAACATCATGAAAGTTATCTCCATAGCTTTGGATAAAATGGAATAAGATAAGCAATTTGAAATTTCTACTTTAGAAAAATTTCCTAAGGAAATAAAAAATTTATATTAAATATTAGTCTTTTAGTAGAGCATATGTCTCCCGAGTAGCTGGGATTACAGGTGTGCACCACCATGCTCGGCTAAGTTTTGTATTTTTAGTAGAGATGGGGTTTCCCCATGTTGGCCAGGCTGGTTTCAAACTTTTGATCTCAGGTGATCTGCCTGCCTCAGCCTCCCAAAGTGCTGGAATTACAGGCATGAGCCACCATGCCCAGCCTTATTATCATTACATAAACAAGCTCTGCTGTCCCCCTTTGTATATCTTTTCTCTCCTGGTCATTCTTATAGCTAAGAAGCATCATTTCTAACTATTTTCAGAAAAAAAATACTCTTTAGTCTATTGGGTATTTCATGCAAAAGCAAACATTACTTTTTGTTTTATTTTCTTTTTTTACAACTGTAGCAAATATGGGATCAGTGGCCAGATTGAGGAAGATATTTTGATTTACTTCTCTCCCTAAGACAGTTTTCAGGTGTTATCTTTGGTGGGAAGCAGATGAAACTAATTAAAGATTGAGTTTCGCAGAAGGCTTGAAGTAGAGAAAGTACAAAGTGTGAATGATTTGGCTCTAGGGAGACCAGGGACAAGGAACTTTGCCTACAGGTGCAGCTTACAGGTGCTTACGTGCTTTACACGGACTATGGGCTTAAAGCAAAGATGGCAAATCATAGAGGTGGTAACAGGTATCATTTTCTTTCTCCCTCCCCTCCCCTCCCCTCCCCTCCTCTCCCCTCCCCTCCCCTCCCTTTCTTCTCTCTCTTTTTTTTGAGATGGAGTCTGCTCTGTCGTCCAGGCAGGAGTACAGTGGCACAATCTCAGCTTACCACAACCTCTGCCTCCCAGGTTCTCAGCCTCCCGAGTAGCTGGGATTACAGGTGTGCACCACCACGCCCGGCTAAGTTTTGTACTTTTAGTAGAGACGGGGTTTCTCCATGTTGGCCAGGCTGGTTTCAAACTTTTGACCTCAGGTGATCTGCCTGCCTCGGCTTCCCAAAGTACTGGAATTACAGGCATGAGCCACCGCACCCAGCCTCATTATTATTTTTTTCTTGATGAACTCTTTGTTATCAGAAAATATGTTCAAGTTACAATCTGGGAAGGGGTGTATCACCTTCCTACTTTTCCTCTTCTGTGCAAAGCACACACTCAGAATCCTCACTACATATTATCTGGTACCACACATATTTTTATGACCTAAAATTGGGCTCTAAGGCATTTCAACACACACACACACACACACACACACACACAATATATATATATATGTATATATATACACACACAGATATATATATTTATTTACTTATATATAGTGATCTTCTGTCTATTCTTTACCTGTGCCACCCTGTTCAGGAAGCCCTGCGTTGCCCTGTTCAGGAAACCGTGTGTGATAAGAATAATTGGTTTCAGTGTTGGAAAGCGTCTTTAAACGTTGCCCACCCAAATGACCTGTCTAATGCCTAAATCCCCTCTGCCATACTCCCCCACAGTAAACATGGAGCTTCCTTCTGAATTATTCCAGTTCAAACAGGTCATTCCAGGAGGGCTGTTAAACTTGGGGCAGGGCAGGTGAGCTCTCAGAGTTCGAGAGGTCTTCCTAATATTGAGATTAAAATCCTCCTCTTTGTAATTTCCACTGGCTAATTCCAGTTAAGCCTTCTGGGGTCATACAGAAGGAATACAGGCCCCTTTCTACAGGACAACTCTCTTCATATCTAAAGACTGCTCTGTAGTTCACAATGTTTCTGAAAATTGTTTTTTAAATAAAATATCTCACTTTTCTTAATAGCATTTTATCTGTATGGAGGAAACATAACTGGATGTTTCCTCTGTACATATCCCCTGTATATCTTGGATCTCCCCAGATTCCACTCCCAGCTATTTTATTTGTTGGTGCTGTGGAAATAGGCAAATCTCTTTACTCTGAAAGCCTGTTTATCATAAGATTAAACATAATGCCAATTTCATGGTTATATTTTTAGGATTCATTTATTCAATAAATATTTATTGAGTGCCCATTAGGCTGGGAATAAAATAATAAAGCAGACAAACACCTCTACCCTCTTGAAGCTTAGATTCTCTGAGGGTAGGGGACAGAAAATAAATAAAATATAGAGAATGTTGATTGGCAAAAGTACTACAAAGAAAAGCAAAGCAGAAAAGTGGGGATGGGGAATACCAAATTGGAGACTTGCAATTTCAGACAGGGACTAAATGACATAGTGTGCACAATTGCACTTTGTAAACTGTAGAAAGCCGGACATGTAGGACCTATTATTTCTATTGTGTAGTGTTCTCGCTCCCCCATGCTGGTCACTTTTCTCTGGTCATATTCATTTGCGTATTTCTCTCTTAATGTTTGGTGTCTGGAACTGAGTCTAGCACCCCAGGTGTAGTTAGACCAACTCAGGGTACTACACTGATTTTGCCCTACCTATTTTCGAAAGGATTTTAGTTAGCTTATAATCAACTAAAAATCTAAGGCTTTCTCATTGATTTCATCCTTGAGCATACGTGTCTGCCTGGGATGCTTACCCAGTGGTGGGGCAGTAAAGCCAGCTTTAGGAACAGGAGTGGGCAGCTTCCCACACAGTTGAATTTTAGATCTCCCTGCTCCTACCCTCATCCATTGAGCCAAACCTGAAGTTTTTGCAAGAGAGAGGGAAGTTTTCATTTCATGAGAAATTGGTATCCTTAAAAGCACATTGCCCCAAATACACACATTTCTGATGTGGAAGAATTCAAAATAATTTATATGTATATAAATCCTCTGATCTCAAGAAGGTGGACCATAAGTCACCACTTGTTAAGTGTGAGATTCACAGAGACCTCCTGCTAAAGAGAACAGTACAGAAAGAAGAGAACCAAGAATAACTTCACACTGGGCAAACCTGACAAATACTACTTCAGTGAGGCAATCAGGATCAGCATCAACAGTCACAAATGATGTTGATATGATGGACCCTTGAAATGATTCAATAAAAAATGCCAATTTCCCTCTGTAGTCATCCTTCCAAAACCTCATGCCCCTAGTCTAATCATGAGAAACACATCAGAAAAATTCCATTATAACAATATATCGACCAGCATTTCTCAAAACTGTCAAGGTCATCAAAAACAGGGAAAGTCTGAAAAAGTGTTACAACCCAGAGGCGCCTGAGAAGACATGATTACTAAATGTATTGTGGAGTCTTGGATGAGGTCTTGGAGTAGAAAACAGACATTAAATAAAAGCTAAGGAAATCTGAATAAAGTATAGACCCTAGTTAGTAATAATGTATCATTATTGGTTTGTTAACTGTGACAAATGTACCATGCTGATGTTAAGATGTTAACTGGGCATGGAGTACATGAGAACTCTGCCCTACTGTGATGGCTAATTTTGTGTGTCAACTTGGCTGGGCTTTGGGTGCCCAGATATTTAGTCAAACATTATTCTGGATGTTTCTGTGAGGGTGTTTTGGATGAGATTAACATTTAAATTTGTGGATTTTGAGTCAAGCAGATTGTCTTCCATAATGTAGATGGGCCTCCTCCAATCAGTTGAAGGCCTGAAAGATTGGCCTCCCTGAGCAAGAGAGAGTTCTGTAGCATATTGTCTTCAGACTTTACCGGTGACATCAATTCTTCCTGGTTCATACAGCAGACTACCTTTAGATTTGAAGTGAAATGCAGCTCTCCTGGGTTTCCAGCCTGCCGGCCCACCTTATGGATTTTGGATTTGCCAGCCTCCGTAACTGCATAAGCCAATTCCCTTTAATAAATTTCTTTCTGTGTGTGTATTCACATCCTATTGGTTCTATTTCTTTGGAGAACCCTGATTAATACAACTACTTTTACAACTTTTCTGTAAATCTAAATCCATTCTAAAATAAGGAATTTATTTAAAAGGTAAATTTTTAAAAGTGAGTAGCCTTGAAAGAGGCAGCACACTGATTTAAATGTATTCCGAGCTAAATTTACTCTGAATTCCAGTTTTTTTCTCGGAGCTTTGGTGTGGGAAAGTATCAAAGGGAAAGTAAAAAAGGCCTTAATTCCTGTTTTTCCCATTGATACTTTCCTATAGTAAAAGTAGAACATGAATCCCATGTTCATAAATCCCTTTCTTATTAATAAGTCAGCTTCTCAGGCATTCTGATAGATTATATTCCTAGACAGTGGATATAAGCATACTGGAGTCTGAAACACATTCTCCATTGTGAGAGAAGGTGTCAGGCCACTTATCAGGCACAGGTTTCCAGAGGGAACATGTGATTTCTCTCCTTTGTCCCTGCTCCCTTCCCTTCCTTATCCTTGATTCCCAGAGGGAGCCCACAAACCCATAACTGTTTTCCATAGTATTCTAGCTCCCAATCCAAGAATGGAGGCATATGGAAGTGGATGAAGCTAAACTATGGTATCGGAAACTGACCCTGAGTGAAGAATCTGTGTTACTGTTGAGGCTCTGCCCTGAGGATCTCTGTGACATGGCAGAGCTCACCGCGTCCCCTGATGCTTCTTCATCTGTGGGAGTCTGTGATGGGGTAAGAGGGCATTTAGTAATAGGTAATTAATGAAGTTCAATAAAAAGTCTGAAGAAGGAATGGCTAAGATTGTTGTTAATGATTCTTTAATTTTTTGTAATATGCATTAGAATCTTTCCAACTGGAAATGCAATAATATGAGATTAATTTTGTTTTTTAAAAAACAGGCTAGAAATGAAACAGGGCATTACAGGGATGCTTTAAATAGTTTCTCTGTTGAGTTCTTCAGCTCACACTAGAAAAAAGTTGAGGAAGGAACATGAAATGTGTGAGAATTAAAGGGCTGCAGAAAATAAAAATTTATGAGTTTCTAGGGCAGTCTCTCTTTTACGCACACACACACTTACACACACATTCCAAAAATAAATACTGATGGGTGTTAGTGTCACCTAATGGGCACATAGAACTGAAAGAAATGTTTATAATTCTGACCTCAGTGACTCCAGTCAGCTCAGTCCTTTAGTGTTTAATATTGTTTCCGAGTTTGTGCTGTTAAATCAAAAGGTTATCTATAATACATCTGGTGCTATTAATGCAAAAGATCAGGGGTATTCAAAAGAAATTTATTCATTATTAATTTAGATAATAAAGGATCATTTATGAGGCTTCAGATGAGATTTTTATCATCAAAAGCTTAAAAAGGGAAATTTATTTTTGCTTCGGGACAGACATGAGAGGGATCCATAATGGGAAATGTGAGAGTCAACACAAAACTGTCAGATTCACTCTGTTTCTGAAGATGGCTGATACTTTATAGCAACAGATTAAAAAGAAAATAAAATCTTGTGCTTTAAATTTCTATTGACAGCGACTTCATGATTTATTCTAGGTTTGTCCTTTATTGAGATGTTTTGTTGATGTTCTCTGCTTCTTTCTATTACATTTGTGGTCTTTGATGGCTTATGTAAATTGAATGAGGGAGGAATTAATCAAATTTTACAAAATATTAGGGACTGTTGGCAAATAAACAAAGGACCAAGTTGGCTCCAGAATCTTTACAAACTAAGCAAGAGCTATGTCTCCTCTAGATTTTATTGAACACGAGAAGTAATGAGAAAGGGTGGCTTGAAAATATACCATTTTGGAGAAAGGTGATATAACACTGGGGGACCTGGAAGAGCTCTTAGGTGTGGAACATAGGATTACTGGAATTGCTATTACCTTATGCTGTTGGAGCTGATCAAAGTGGATGTTAAATGGATTTTTAAGGGAGTTGAGATTTTCAGAATTTCTCTGACCTTGAATTTGCAAATACACACAAATGAACCAATTCTCTAACCAGTTATGGTAGGTGACTTATTGGAATTTGAGTTTGGAATCATAAGTGAGAAATAGAAAACTAAGGATATCCTACACAGTATCAGCTACATACCAAGTGATCGGGACATGTTTGCTGAATAAATGAACATGTCTTGTTAAGTCCAAGTATCACAGTTGAAGTTACCTTGTACCAAAGGACAGTGGGGATATTACAAGGGCATTTATTTATTACTAATATACATAATTGAAAACCATGTGTTTGGGATTTCAGATGAATTATCTTCATTAAAGAATAAAAAAGGAAGATATTTGGACAAAAAGGCCCCAGGTTAGCCTGATTTTAATATTAGCTAGTAATTTCAGGACTAAAAATGGAATAAAACTCCATAAAATCACACATTGCTCCCTCTATACCTGCTTTATTAGGGTAAAGGGCAATTGGAGATCAAGTCCAATATCCTACTCAATAAATATGCAACCAAAACAAAAGTCGTGGACTATCTCTAGCTCCGTATCAGACCATTTGTGCGTGGAAAAAAACCCCTTAAACCTAGCCATCAAGCATCGAAGATAAATGTGGATCATTCAAATATATTGTTATGAGATGGGCGAGTGCTGTGAAGGAGCCTTTGTATTGGGCATAGGCTTGGCTGTCAACACTCATCCATCTGTCAAATGTTCCCACATGTGCTGAAGAGGCTGGCGAGGTAAAAGCAGATTTTCTAGACATCCTTGCACTGATATTCCAAGTGAGATTTAGGTTTTGAAAATCAGGTGCACTTATGTAAAACTTGGAAGAGGCAAAGCTGCTCGTGTGTTGTTTGTTCCTGGCAACACCTTCATGGTGGCAGTTTGGTTTCTCTGTTGTTCTCAGAGATCTTAGACTTCAGTCACTAGCTGTGTTGGTTTGGAAAGCCAAAGAACCATCATATCCTTGGGAAGGGAAGATTATAGCAGGCATGGCAAAGTTCTGGAATGGGAAACAGAAGTGTTAATTTCCTCCATGTGTTGGTGGGGGCGTGGTTCTGGAACTGGCTAAATTTTTAATTCCTCAAATTATTTTTTAAATATATTTTTATTTTTTAAATCGACACATAATAATTGTACACATTTATGGGGTACAATGTGGTATTCCAATACATGTATGTATACTGATCAAATCATTATAATTTGCATATCAATTACCTTAAACATTTATCATTTCTTTGTTGTAAGGACATTCAAAATCCTCTTTTCTATCTATTTGAAATATATAGTACATTGTTGTAACCTACTGTGAATAGAATATAATAACTTATTCCTCCTAACTGTAACATTGTACCCATTGACTAACATCTCCCCATCTCTCCCTTCTCCCTATTCTCCCCCATTGCTGGTAACCACTATTCTACTCTCGACTTGTATGAGATCATTTTTTTTAGATTCCACATGAGTGAGAATCTCAATTCCACAATACTAGATTCCACATGCAGTATTTGTCTTTCTGTGGTTGGCTTATTTCACTTAACGTAATGTCCTCTAGGCTAATATAGGTTGTTGCAAATGACAGGATTCCATCCTTTCTTACGGTTGAATAGTATTCCGTTGTGTGTATATACCACATTTTCTTTGTCCATCATCTATTGATGGGCACCTAGATTAATTCCATGTCTTGGTTATTGTGAATAGTGCTGCAATAAACGGGAGATTATAGATGTACATACTGATATTATTTCCTTTGGACATATACCCAGTAGTGGGATTGCTGGTTCTTATAGAAGAGCTATTTTTAACATTTTGAAAAACCTCCATACTGTTTTCCATAATTGCTGTACAAATTTACATTCCCTCCAACAGTGTATATGGGTTCCTCTTTCTCCACATCCTTGCCAGCATTTGCTGTTTTTTTTGTCTTTTTGATAGTAGCCATTCTAACTGGGGTGAAATGATTTCTTATTGTGGCTGTGATTTGTCTTTACCTGATGGTTAATGATGTGAGCATTTTTCATATACTTACTGGCCATTTATATGTCTTCTTTGGAGATACATCTATTTAGGTGTTTTGCTCATTTAAAAATCAGATTATTTATTTTTGCTTTTGAGTTTGAGTTCCTTATAAATTCTACATATTAATTCCTTGTCAGATACATAATTTTCAAATATTTTCTCCCATTCTGTAGGTTGTTTCTTCACTGTGTTGATGGTTTTCTTTGTGGTGCAGAAGCTTGTTAGTTTGATGTAATTACATATGTTTACTTTTGCTTTTGTTGCTTGTGCTTTTGAGTTCTTGTAAAAAAAAAAAATTGTTGCCTAGACCAATGTCATGTTTCCCTGATGTTTTCTTTTAGTAGTTTCATAGTTCCGGGTCTTATATTTGAGTCTTTAATCCATTTTGAGTGGATTTTTGTACATGGGGACAGCTAGGGGTCTAATTTTATACTTTCACATGTGAATATCAAGTTTTCCCAGCACTGTTTGTTGAAGAGACTGTCCTTTTTCCCTTGTGTGTTCTTGGTGCCTTTGTAAAAATCCAGTTGACTGTAAATGCATGGATTTACTTCTGGGCTCACTATTTTGTTCTATTAGTCTACATGCCAGTACCATGCTGTTTTGGTTACATGGTATATAGGTTTGTAGTATATTTTGAAATCAATAGTGTGATGCCTCTGGCTTTGTTCTTTTTGTTCAGGTTGCTTTAGCTAGTCAGGGCCTTTTGCAGTTCCATAAAAATTTTAGAATTGCTATTTCTATTTCTGTAGAGTGTCACTGGAATTTTGATAGGATCACATTGAATCTGTATATCACTTTGGATAGTGTGGACATTTTAACAATATTAACTCTTTCATGGACATGAAATAGCTTTCCATTTATTCATGTCCTTTCCAATTTTTAAAATTAATATGTTACAGTTTTCATTATAGAGGTCTTTCACTTTTTTGGTTAGATTTATTCCTAGGTATTTTTTTGTAGCTATTGTAAATGGGATTGATTTCTTGATTTCTTTTTCACATAGTTCACTATTAGCATATATAAACATTACTGATTTTTTAAGACCTGTTTCATTTTATTACACTTTGCTTAATTTTGCTTCACAGGTACTGCATTTTGATAAATTGAAGGTTTGTGGAACGCTGCATTGAGCAAGTCTATTGGTACCATTTTCCAACAGCATGTGCTCACTTCATGTCTCTGTGCCACATTTGGTAAGTCTCATAATATTTCAAAATTCTTCATTATTATTATATCTGTTATAGTGCTCTGTGATCTGTGATCTTTGTTTTTAAAATCTTATTTTTAAAAATTTGTGTATATTATCATGGGGTACAAGTGCAATTTTGCTACATTGATATATTGCATTGTGGTAAAGTCTAGAAACATTACTGATTTTTCTATGTTGATTTTATATTCTGCCATTTTACTGTATTTGTTTATCAGTTCTAATAGTTTTTTTCTGGAGTCTTTGGGATTTTCTAAATATAAGATCATATCGTCTTCAAACAGGGACAATTTAATTTCTCCTCTCCAATATGGATGCCTTTTATTTCTTCCTCTGGCCTAATTGCTCCCAGTACTATAACTGTTAAAAGTGGTCATCCTTGTCTTGTTTCACATCTTAGAGGAGAAGCTACAACTTTTCCACATTTAGTATAATGTTGGCTGTGAGTTTATCATATATGGTCTTTATTATGTTGAGGTATTTTTTTTTTAACAAGCCATTTAACTGGAAGAGGTATGCTTCTTTTGTGCCCAATTTGTTGAGCGTTTTCATCATGAAAGAATGTTGACTGTTGTCAAATGCCTTTTTGGTATCTGTTGAAATGATCATATGGTTGCTGTCATTTATTCTGTCTGTTGTGGTATATCACATTTATTAATTTGCATATGTTAAACCATCCTTGGGATGAATCCTACTGAATTATGGTGAATGATGTTTTTAATGTGCTGTCAAATTCTGACCACTAGCATCTTGTTGAGAATCCGTGCATCCATGTTCATCAGGAATATTTGCTTGTAGTTTGTTGTTGTTGTTGTGTTTTTGTTTGGTTTTGGTATCAGAGTTATGCTGGCCATGTAGAATGAATTTGGAAGCGTTTCCTCCTTTTCAATTTTTAGAATATTTTGTGAAGAATTGGTATTATTTCTTTAAATATTTTGCAGTATTCTGCGGTAAAACCATCAGGTCCTGGACTTTTCTTTGAGGGGAGACTTTTTATTATGGCTTTAATCTTGTTACTTATTATTCATCTGTTTAGATTTTCTATTTCTTCTTGATTCAATCTTGATAGGTTGTATGTATCCAGGAATTTATTCATTTATTCTAGATTTCCCAATTTGTTGGTATAAAATTGTTCATAGTAGCTTCTTTTTTAATTTTTATTTCTTCTAAAAAAACACAGGATACGTGTGCAGAACGTGCAAGTTTTTTACATAGGTATACATGTGCCATGGTGGTTTGCTGCATCTATTGACGCATCCTCTAAGTTTCCTCCCCTCACCCTCCACCCTGCAACAGGCCCTGGTGTGTGTTGTTCCCCTCTTTGTGTCCATGTGTTCTTAATGTTCAACTCCCACTATGAGTGAGAACATATGGTGTTTGGTTTTCTGTTCCTGTGTTAGTTTGCTGAGGATGATGGCTTCCAGCTTCATCCATGTCTCTGCAAAGGACATAACCTCATTCCTTTTTATGACTGCATAGTATTCCATGGTGTATATATACCAAATTTTCTTTATCCAGCCTGTCATTGATGGGCATTTGGGTTGGTTCTATGTCTTTGCTATTGTAAATAGTGCTGCGATAAACTTATGTGTGCATGTGTCTTTATAGCAGAATGATTTATATTCCTTTGGATATATATACCCAGTAATGGGATTGCTGGGTCAAATGGTTTTTCTGGTTCTGGATCCTTGAGGAATCACCACGCTGTCTTCTACAATGGTTGAACTAATTTACATTCCTACCAACAGTGTAAAAGCATTCCTATTTCTCCACAGCCTCACCAGCGTCTATTGTTTCCTGACTTTTTACTAATCACCATTCTGACTGGCCTGAGATGTTATCTCATTGTGGTTTTGATTTGCATTTCCCTGATAATCAGTGATGTTAAGCTTTTTTTCATATGTTTGTTGGCTGCATAAATGTCTTCTTTTGAGAAGTGTCTGTATCCTTTGCCCACTTGTTGATGGGGTTGTTTGTCTTTTTCTTGTAAATATGTTTAAGTTCCTTGTAAATTCTGGATATTAGACCTTTGTCAGATGGGTAGGTTGCAAAAATTTTCTCCCTTTCTGTAGGTTGCCTGTTCACTCTGATGATAGTTTCTTTTGCTGTGCAGAAACACTTTAGTTTAATTAGGTTCTATTTGTCAATTTTGGCTTTTGTTGCAATTGCTTTTGGCGTTTTTGTCATGAAGTCTTTGCTCATGCCTATGTCCTGAATTGTATTGCCTAGATTTTCTTCAAGGGTTTTTATGATTTTGGGTTTTACATTTAAGTCTTTAATCCATTTTGAGTTAATTTTTGTATAAGGTGTAAGGAAGCGGTCCAGTTTCAGTTTTCCCAGCACCATTTACTGACTAGGAGATCCTTTCGCCATTGCTTGTTTTTGTCAGGTTTGTTGAAGATCAAATGGTTGTAGATGTGTGGTGTTATTTCTGAGGTCTCTGTTCCGCTCCATTGGTCTATATGTCTGTTTTGGTACCAGTACCATCCTGTTTTGGTTACTGTAGCCTTGTAGTATAGTTTGAAGTCAGGTAGCATGATGCCTCCAGCTTTGTTTTTTATGCTTAGGATTGTCTTGGTTATACTGGGTCTTCTTTGATTCCATATGAAATTTAAAATAGTTTTTTTCTAATTCTGTGAAGAATGTCAATGGTAGTTTGATGGGAATAGCATTGAATCTGTGAATTACTTTGGGCAGTATGGCCATTTTCATGATATTGATTCCTCCTATCCATCAGCATGAAATGTTTTTCCATTTGTGTCCTCTCTTATTTCCTTGAGCAGTGGTTTGTTGTTCTCCTTGAAGATGTCCTTCATATCCCTTGTTAGCTGTATTCCTAGGTATTTTATTCTCTTTGTAGCAATTATGAATAGAAGTTCATTCATGATTTGGCTCTCTGTTTGTCTATTGTTGGTGTAAAGGAATGCTTATGATTTTTACACATTGATTTTGTGTTCTGAGACTTTGCTGAAGTAGCTTATCAGTTCAGGGAGTTTTTGAGTGAGATGATGGGGTTTCCTAAATATAAAATCATGTCATCTGCAAACAAACACAATTTGACTTCCTCTCTTCCTATTTGAATACCTTTATTTCTTTCTCTTGCCTTACTGCCCTGGCCCAGAACTTCCAATACTATATTGAGTAAGAGTGTTAAGAGAAGGCATCCTTGTCTTGTACGGGTTTTCAAAGGGAATGCTTCCAGCTTTTGTTCATTCAATATGATATTGGCTGTGGGTTTGTAATAAATAGCTCTTATTATTTTGAGATATGTTCTATCAATATCTATTTTATTGAGAGTTTTTAACATGAAGGGATGTTAAATTTTATCAAAGGCCTTTTCTGCATCTATTGAGATAATCATGTGGTTTTAATCTTTTGTTCTATTTATGTGATGGATTACCTTTACTGATTTGCATATGTTGAACCAGCCTTGCATCCCAGGGATGAAGCCAACTTGATCGTGGTGGATAAGTTTTTTGATGTGCTGCTGGATGCGGTTTGCCAGTATTTTATTGAGGATATTTGCATCAATGTTCATCAGGGATATTGGCCTGAAATTTCCTTTTTTTTTTTTTTTTTTTTTGAGACAGAGTATCGCTCTGTCACCCAGGCTGGAGTGCACTGGCGCAATCTCGGCTCACTGTAAGCTCTGCCTCCCGGGTTCACACCATTCTCCTGCCTCAGCCTCCCGAGTAGCTGGGACTACAGGTGCCCGCCACTATGTCCAGCTTTTTTTTTTTTTTGTATTTTTAGTAGAGACGGGGTTTCACTGTGTTAGCCAGGATGGTCTCGACCTCCTGACCTCGAGATCTGCCTGCCTTGGCCTCCCAAAGTGCTGGGATTACAGGTGTGAGCCACCACACCCAACGGAAATTTCCTTTTTTTGTGTGTCTCTTCCTGGTTTTGGTATCAGGATAATACTGGCTTTATAAAATCAGTTAGGGAGGAGTCCTTCTTTTTCAATTGTTTGGAATAGTTTCAGAAGGATGAGTACGAACTCCTCTTTGTATTTCTGGTAGAATTCAGCTGTGAATCCGTCTGGTCGTGGGCTTTTTTTGGTTGGTAAGCTATTAATTACTGCCTCAATTTCAGAACTTGTTATTGGTCTATTCAGAGATTCAAGTTCTTCCTGGTTTAGTCTTGGGAGGCTGTATTGTCCAGGAATTCATTAATTTCTTCTAGGTTTTCTAGTTTATTTGCATAGGGGTGTTTATAGTATTATCTGATGGTAGTTTGTATTTCTGTGGGGCCAGTGGTGATTCTCCTTTATCATTTTTTACTGTGTCTATTTGATTCTTCTCTCTCTTCTTATTAGCATAGCTAGTGGTCTATTTTGTTAATTTTTTAAAAACCACCTGGGCTGGTCGCGGTGGCTCACGCCTATAATCCCAGCACTTTGGGAGGCTGAGGTGGGCGGATCACGAGGTCAGGAGATCGAGACCATCCTGGCTAACACGGTGAAAGCCCGTCCCTACTGAAAACACAAAAAAATTAGCTGGGCGTGGTGGCGGGTGCCTGTAGTCCCAGCTACTCTGGAGGCTGAGGCAGGAGAATGGCGTGAACCCGGGAGGTAGAGCTTGCAGTGAGCCAAAATCACGCCACTGCTCTCCAGCCTGGGTGACAGAGTGAGACTGTCTCAAAAACAAAACAAAACAAAACAAAACAAAACAAAACAGCTCCTGGATTCATTGATTTTTTTGAAGGGTTTTTCATGTCTCCATCTCCTTTAATTCTTCTCTGATCTTAGTTATTTCTTGTCTTCTGCTACCTTTTGGATTAGTTTGCTCTTGCCTCTCTAGCTCTTTTAATTTTGATGTTTGGGTGTCCATTTGAGATCTTTCTAGCTTTCTGATGCAGGCATTTAGTGCTATACATTTCCCTCTTAATACTGCTTTAGCTGTGTCCCAGAGATTCTGGTATGTCGTCTCTTTCTTCTCATTGATTTCAAAGAACTTCTTGATTTCTGCCTTAATTTCACTATTTACCCAGGAGTCATTCAGGAGCAGGTTGCTCAATTTCCATGTAATTGTGTGGTTTTGGGTGAGTTTCTTAATCCTGAGTTCTAATTAGATTGTACTGTGGTCTGAGAGACTGTTTGTTATGATTTCAGTTCTTTTGCATTTGTTGAGGAGTGTTTTACTTCCAATTATGTGGCCAATTTTAGAATAAGTGCCATGTGGCCCTGAGAAGAATGTATATTCTGTTGATTTGGGGTAGAGAGTTCTGTAGACATGTACTAGGTCCACTTGATCCAGATTTGAGGTCAAGTTCTGAATATCCTTGTTAATTTTCTGTCTGGTTGATCTGTCTAATGCTGACAATGGGGTGTTAACATCTCCGACTATTATTGTGTGGGAGTCTAAGTCTCTTTGTAGGTCTCTAAGAACTTGTTTTGTGAATCTGGATGCTCCTGTATTGGGTGCATATACATTTAGAATAGTTAGCTCTTCTTGTTTAATTGTTACCTTTATCATTAGGTAATGCCCTTCTTTGGCTTTTTTGATCTTTGTTGGTTCAAAGTCTGTTTTGTCAGAGACTAAGATTGCAACCCCTGCTTTTATTTTTGCTTTCCATTTGCTTGTTAAATTTTCCTCCATCCCTTTATTTTGAGTCTATGTGTGTCTTTGCATGTAAGATGGGTCTCCTGAATACACCACACACCGATGGATCTTGACTCTTTGTTCAACTTGCCAGTCTGTGTCTTTTAGTTGGGGCATTTAGCCCGTTTACATTTAAGATTAGTATTGTTATGTGTGAATTTGATCGAGTCATCATGATGCTATTTGGTTATTTTGCACACTAGTTGATGCAGTTTCTTCATAATGTCATTGGTACTATGGTACTAATATGGCATGGAAAACATATTTTCATGTGTTTTTTGTGGTGGCTGGGACTGGTTTTTCCTTTCCATATTTAGTGCTTCTTTTAGGAACTCTTGCAGGGCAGGCCTGGTGGTAATGAAATCCCTCAGCATTTGCTTGTCTGGAAAGGATTTTATTTCTCCTTCACTTATGAAGCTTAGTTTGTCTGGATATCAAATTCTGAGGGGAAAATTCTTTTCTCTAAGAATATTGAATATTGGCCCCCAATCTCTTCTGGCTTGTAGAGTTTCTGTTGAAAGGTCCACCATTAGTCTGATGGGCTTCCCTTTGTAGGTGACCTGGGTTTTCTCTGTGGCTGCCCTTAAGAGTTTTTCCTTAATTTCGACCTTGGAGAATCTGATGATTATTTGTCTTGTGGTTGATCTTGTGGAGTATCTTAGTGGTGTTCTCTGTGTTTCCTGAATTTGCATGTTGGCCTGTTTTGCTAGGTTGGAGAAGTTCTCCTGGATAATCCTGAAGTGTGTTTTCCACCTTGTTTCCATTATCCCCATCTCCTTCTGGTACTCCAATCAATTATAGGTTTGGTCTTTTTATGAAGTCCCATATTTCTTGGAGGCTTTGTTCATTCCTTTTCATTCTTTTTTCTCTATTCTTGTCTGCATGCCTTATTTCAGCAAGGTAGTCTTCAAACTCTGATATCTTTTTTTCTGCTTGGTTGATTCAGCTGTTGCTACTTGTGTATGCTTTATGAAGTTCTCATGCTGTGTTTTTCAGCTCCATCAGGTCATTTATGTTCCTCTCTAAACTGGTTGTTCTAGTTAGTAATTCCTCTAACCTTTTATCAAGGTTCTTAGCTTCTTTGCCTTGGATTAGAACATGCTCCTTTAGCTCAGCATAGTTTTTTTTATTACCCATGTTCTGAAGCCTACTTCTGTCAGTTTGTCCATCTGATTCTCCATCCAGTTCTGTGCTCTTGAAGGAGAGACGTTGCAGTCATTTGGAGGAAAAGAGGCACTCTGGCCTTTTGGGTTTTCAGCATTTTTTGTTGATTCTTTCTCATCTTCATGAGTTTGTCTAGTTTTGGTCTTTGAGGCTGCTGACTCTTGCATGGGGTTTTTTTTTTGGCAGCTTTTTTGTTGTTGATGCTGTTGTTGTTGCTTTCTGCTTGTTTGCTTTTCTTTCAATAGTCAGGTCCCGCTTCTGTAGGGCTGCTGCAGTTTGCTGGGGGTTCACTTCAGGCCCTATTCATCTGATTTACTCCTGTGCCTGGAGATATTACTCAAGGAGACTGGAGAACAGTAAAGGTGGGTGCCTGCTCCTTCTTCTGGGAACTCTGACCTTGAGGGGCACCAATCTGATACCAGTAAGATCACTCCAGTGTAGGGTGTCTGACAACCCCTGTTGGAGGGTCTCACCTAGTTGGGTGGCACAGGGAACAGGACCCATTTAATGAAGTACTTTGCCCCTTGTTGGAGGGGGTGTGCTTCCCTGGGGGGAAACCCACTCATCTGGGCTGCCTGGATTCCTCAGAACTACCAGGAAGAGAGGCTAAGTTGGCTGGTCTACAGAGACTGCGGCCACCCCTCCTCCTAGGGGATCAGGCCCAGGTAGATCCAGAGTCTGTCCCTGAGCCTCTGGCTGGTGTTACTGGCTCTCCTGCAGGGAAGCCCTGCCCAGTGAGGAAGGATGGGTCAGGGTAAGACCTGAAGAGGTGCTCTGGCTGTAGACTGCCACAGCCGGTGTGTTGGGCTGTGGGGACAAGTCTTGGGACCAAATCTAGCCTCCCTGGCTCTAGCAGTGGAGAAGTGCAGACTGGATCTATGGAGATGGCTGTCACCCTTCCCCCACCTAGAGATCTTAGTGAGTTACGCAGTTGCGAGTCCCAGTGCTGGCTGCTGCCCTTCCTCCAAGGAGCTAAAACTGCTTAGACAGCAGGCAGCTGCAGCTGTGGTGCTGGTCACCCCTCTCCCCAGGAGCTGGGTAGGCTTAAGTAGATTCCAGCTGAGAGGCTGAGGGAATCTGCATGTTCTAGGGTTGGGATGCTAGGCCCTGGTGGCGTGGGTTCGTGAGTGGGATCTTCCAATCTGTGGGTTGCACAGTTCCATGGAAGAAGCACAGTTTCCCTGGCTGTGTAGCGTGCTCACTCACCACCTCCCTTGGCTGGGGGGAGGGGGTACTCCTACCCCATGTGGTTCTCAGGTGGGCCGACGCACCACACTGTTCTTCCTTCTCTCTGTGGGTCGTACCAGCCTTCTAGTCAATTTTGAAGAGGGAACCTGGATACTTTGTTTGGTGATGAGGGATTCACACCCTTATAGCTTTTTTTTGATGGGAGCCTCTGAATGCCACTGCTTCCAGTTGGCCATCTTGGCCCTGCCCCCGTGGTGGTTTCTTATAATCCTTTTTATTTCTGTGTTGTTAGTTGTAATGTCTCCCTTTTTATCTCTGATTTTATTTATTTGAGTCTTCTCTTTTGTTTCTTAGTCTGGCTAAGGGTTTGTCAATTTTGTTAATTTTTTTCAAAAAAACAACTATGTTTTGTTGATCTTTTATATTATCTTTTTAGCATCTGTTTTATTTATTTGTGCTCTGATCTTTATTATTTCTTTCCTTATAGTAATTTTGGGTTTAGTTTGTTTATCTAGTTCTTTGAGATGAATTGTTAGGTTGTTTATGTGAAATCTTTCTTCGTTTTTGATGTAGGGCATTTTTTGCAGTAAACTCCTCTCTAAGGACGGCTTTGCCGAATCCTATAAGTTCTGGTATGCTGTGTTTCCATTTTCAATGATCTCAAAAAATTTTTAAATTTATTCAGTGACCCATTGATTGTTTAGGAGTATGTTAGTTAATCTCCATGTATTTGTATAATTTTCAAAGTTCTTCCTGTTGTTGATTTCTAGTTTTATTCTATTATGGTCAAAAAGATACTTAATATATATATATTTTTAATTTGTTAAGACTTGTGACCTAACAACATATGATCTATCCTGGAGAATATTCTATGTGCAGATGAGAAAAATGTGAATTCTACAACCATAGGCAAAAAAACAAAAAACAGAGACCAAAAAGCTTGACCTAAGCCTCGTATTTTATATTTAAAAAATTTTTTAAAAAGGATCATAGGCTTAAATGAAAATGTAAAATCGTAAAACTTTTAGGCAGGGCAAGATGGCTCATGCCTGTAATACCAGTCCTTTGAGAGACCAAGTTGGGAGAATTGCTTGAGGCCAGAAGTTCAAGATCACCCTGGGCAACATAGTGAAACCCCATCTTTCCAAAAAAAATTTAAAACATTAGCCAGCTGTGGTGGCTCATGCCTGTAGTCCTAGGTACTTGGAGGCTGAGGGAGGAGGATCATTTAAGCCCAGGAGTATGAGGTTACAACAAGCTGTGATCACACTATTGAACTCTAGCCTGGGGCGACAGAGAGAGACCTTGTCTCTAAAAACAACAACAATGACAATGACAACAAAAACTTTTAGAAAAATAATGAGAGAAAATCTTTAGGATTTAGGGTTAGGCAAAGTGTTCTTATACCTGAGACCAAACATAATTCATAAAAAGAAGAGTAGATAAATTAGACTTCATCAAAATTAGAAATTTTGCCTGCAAAAGTCTCTCTTATGATGAAAAGACAGGTTTCAGACTGGGGGAAATACTTGCAAACCACATGTTCAACAAATGACTATGTCTAGACTAGCTCTTCAGGGCTGGGGTATATAAATAAATCTCAAAACTCAACAGTAAAAATCTGGGCATGGTGGTAAGCACCTGTAGTCCCAGCTATTTGGGAGGCTGAGGCAGGAGGATTGCTTGAGCCCAGGAGTTTGAGGCTGCAGGGAGTTATGATTGCACCACTCCAGCCCTGGGGACAGCATGAGATCCCATCTCTAGAACAAACAAACAAACAACCTCAACAGTAATAAACATTTCGATTAGAAAATGGGCAAAAGACATGAAGAGATATGAATAAATATTTCATCAGGCAGGATTACAGATGGAAAATCACCTGAAATTATGTTCAACATCACCAGCCATTATGGAAACCAAAATTAAAACCTGTTAGAAAGGCTAAAATAAATAAAATAAAATAAAAGGCTAACATTAAATGCTAGCTAAGGTATGGAGAAACTGGATCTCTCATACAGTAGGAATGTAATGGTGCAGCCACTCTGAAAAAGTTGGGCAGTTTCTTAAAACCCTAAGCATGCAACTGCTATATGATTGAGTGATTGCTGTCCTGGGCATTTATCCCAGAGAAATGAAAACTTACTTTCACAAAACATTGTGAATTTCTTTAAGCAATTGTTTATAGAATCTTTATTCATAATATCCTGAAACTGACAATAACCCATATATCCTTCAATGGGTGAATTGTTCAACAAACTATGGTACATTGATGCCACAAAATATTTCTCAGGAATAAAAAGAACTATGAAAAGAACATGAAACACACTATTAAAATACAACTTGAGGCTGGGCGCGGTGGCTTATGCCTGTAATCCCAGCACTTTGGGAGGCCGAGGCAGGTGGATCACCTGAGGTCAGGAGTTTGAGACCAGCCTGGACAATATGGCAAAACTCCGTCTCTACTAAAAATCCAAAAAGTTGGCCAGGTGTGGTGGCGGGCACCTATAATTCCAGCAACTTGGACGCTGAGGCAGGAGAATGGCCTGAACCCAGGAGGCAGAGGTCGCAGTGAGCCAAGATCACGCCATTGCACTCCAACGAGGCCAACGAGCAAAACTCCGTCTCAAAAAACAAACAAACAAAAAACAACAACAAAAAAACTTGAATAAATTTCTAGAGAATTATACTGAAAGGGAAAAAAGTCAATCTCAAAAGGTTTCACACACTGTATTATTCCATGTATATAATATCCTTGTAATGACAAAAATTATAGAGATGGAGAACAGATTAGTATTTGTAGGAGTTAGGAAGAGGATGGGGATGGGAGGGCGATGGAATGGCTATAAAAGGCTAACACGAGGGATCCTTGTGGTGATGAAAGTATTCTATATCTTGAGAGTGTCAAATTGCCTTCCATAAAGAGTATTCCAGTTTATATGCCTGCCAATATTGTAATGAATATGCCAAATATTCCCATGTCCTAGCCCCCCACCCAATGTATTGTATCACACTTTATGACTTTTGACAGCCAGATCACTGGTGGTGGTATTGTTTCCACGTGTATTTTACGTGATCTGTGAATATCACTTAAACATTTTTTTCTCATGTTTAAAAGTCATTTGTGTTTCTTTTTCTCTGAACTGCCTACAGATTTTGAGCTCACAGGGAAGCTCCCTGTCAAGATACTGGTTTCCTTAAATGGTCTCACCCACTGCCACCCCCTCTCCCTCCATACACACATATATCTTCTCTTTCTCATTAGGATAGTTCTTGATTTTATAATTAAGTTTTACCTCTGGTGCCTCTTGGAATCTCGAAGCAAGTGGTATACTTTCTTGCCAAAGAGTGGATTATTGAGAATAAATAGCTCGACCCTATTTATTTTTCTATGTCACACCTATTGAATTCTATAATACTACAATCCCACAAGAATTATCAGGACATATTTCTTTTGCATTCCCACTCTGCTTCTATTTTGAAGTTAGTTTAATTTACCATTTTTCTGTAGTGGGTGTTAAGCTCTTTGAGGTGGATGACCCTGTCTTTTCATCTCCTGCTCTCACTGCCTTGCACACAGGGCCTGCGTCTTGGAAGCCCTCGGTTGATATTAGTCCACTAGTGACTTTCCTGCAACACTCATCCTTGGGAGAGACCTTGAGATGTGTTTAGCTGACATTAGGAAGCCACAGCTTTGGGAGTGGCTAGCTTCTGTTTCTGTCCTGGCAAACTATTTCTAGGATAAAGATTTAGAGAGTCGTGGAAGTTGCTTCACAAAATGAATGGAAGTTTTGTTGGTTTGGTCACTTCTGATGTCTTTCTAGTCCCATTTGGTTGCTGTCCATTGTCCTCAGGCTGTCTTCTCTCTCTTGAAAACCTGCTGTTAGCAAAGGACTTGATAAGTTCATTCACACTGAAGTGCAACTGACTGATAACAGGTTAGATGAAGAGTTTGCATGGTAACCTATTCAAAACCTGAAGCTGAGCAATGAAGCTGTAATGCTGATATTTCATGATATAGATGGCAAGTGTGAGAGTTAAGTGTTTGGCCGAGCAAAAGTCTTACATTCTAGAAATCTGAACATGGAGATAGCATGAATTTTCTCTACTCCTGCATGAGACCCTGGTCCCTCTTTTGGACTGTGGAGGAAGTGAACTTCTAAGCAAGCTAAGCAGATGTAGCAGTGGTGCACAGGGTCTATTTATGCATTCTGGTCCACATCATAATAGATGCACCAAGGAAGGTGGTAATAGTTCATTTTAAAAACTCTCCTGTTTTATTATACTAATTGATGCAACTGATGATGTTTCTCTTCCTTAATAATAGTGACATTCATTTAATATCTCCATATTAACTAGTAGGTTCCAACTTATACTAACAGCATTTTTAGAAAAATCTATTAAAATTAAGAAAGGCTCAAGGAAAACAAAAAGAATAATTCCATTAAAAAATAGAGCTTATTGTTGTAGACATTAATGGACTATCTTAGTCCATTAGGACTACTATAACAAAATGCCATAGACTAGGTGGCTTATAAACAACAGAAATTTGTTTTTCATAGTTGGGCTGGGAAGTCCAAGATCAAGGCACTGGCAGATTTGGTGTCTGGTGAGGGCCGGCTTCCTGGTTTATAGATGGTGCCTTCTTTCTGTGTCTTCACATGGAAGGGAGTGGCTAGCCCTCTAGGGCCTCTTTTATAAGGGCACTGATCTCATTATGAGGGCTTCACCCACATAACCTAACCACCTCCCAAAGGCCCCACCTCCTCATGCCATCATCTTGGAGGTTAAGATTTCAATGTGTGAATTTTGGAGGACCATAAACACTCAGTTCACTGCTTGAACTATCATTTCCCTCTTTCTCTTTCTATTTTCATGTAGCTATTCCCTTTATTGCAAATGCAATCTTCCTTTCTGCCACTGACATCTCTTAGCTTTAATTGATTTTCTTGACAGCGTTTTCCTATTCTGGTTCTTCTTCCGTTGTGCCATTTTCCAGATACAATCCTGTATTTATTTACACAGCTTTTTTTTAAAGCCCTTCATAAAAATTCCAGCAATTGTTTCTTGCTCTCTGCCTCTTCCAGAGAAATTGTAATTTGCAAAGGCTTAATTAGGATCTCTTAGGATTCTCCACACTTTAGGATTTTAATATGTACTATTAGCACATGGTAGTCCTCAGGTTTCTTAGCTCTTCCAAATTTTCTTCCCCAAATCTGTATAGTCGTGGTTTCTTAAAACATTTCTTTCTAAAAGAAGTCTGAAAGAAAACCAGATAAACATTATTATTACATCAAAGTTGCAAGCTGTTTCCGCACCACCATTTAGAATTGTTCTTTTAAGTTTTTAAAAAGCAAATGCTGAAATTCATTTGAATGCTGTGTTCATAATAAGAAACCATTTTAATGATCACATATGTTGTTGTTTTAAGGGCTCATTTTATAATTGAAAGAATACACTCTAGACTAGACTGTCTTGGGGATTTGATTCATGCAATTCCTTCTTCATTATGTACTGAGCTGTTTATTAATCAGCCTGGCTCCACAGTCTGTTTTTATTCACTTTGATTTCTTTTGTGTTTAAAGTTCAGGGTTTACATTTTCAGTACTAAAAATGAAGATGACTGCTGCTTTTAGTTGTTTGTTTGTTTATTATGCCAACTAGATTTCTAAACATTTCCAGGCTGCAAAGGGAAAAAAGAAACAACAAAAAAGATGGGAGGAATATCCTGTCAACACATTTGCTTATTATATCTGGAGCCCTTGGAATGAGCCAATTAGTCCTAACGTTCTATTTGAGATTGTATTGCAAAGGCATTTGTTTTGCAGCATGGATTTTTTTTTTAAGTTAGGAGCAAATAGGACCAATTATGTGCTTTGATTCAGAGAGTTTTCCACCCACCGCCTTCACCCAATTGTACCTCACTCCCTACTGTTGGACTTAAGCGCTTCTCAGTCTTTAGGAGTCTCCTGTAATGTGAATGATAAGTAGCGGATACACATTTTAGTCCAAAAGTCCAAAATGCTAAGATGCAAAAAAACCTCACCGTATTTCTTTCTTTAATGCAATTAATTTCCAGTTAATCCTGCTCCACAGACAGATTCATTAGTGGGTCTCCCTCATGCTGCATAAAAATTTAGGAGAGGGTGCTTCAGCACTGCAGAACATTTAGGGAAGTGTCCTCTGTTCCAGTCTACATTGATCACCTGGAAGAGGAAAGTATACATATAGTGGTGATAACCTACAAATCACATTTGTCAGTTTACTTGAAGAGCAAACAGGCTTTCAGATTAACCAACCTTGGGGAAGTCTTGTGATTCATGATGACACCCAGTTCCTGAGTAAAGAATCTTATATTGAGTGATACAAATTGTTGACGTACTGATTAATGTAAGACCTACTGACAAAGAACAAAGGACGCAGATTTATTTCTGAGTCATGAGGTTTTACTGATTGTCACACAGGTAGACATTTTAGCACCTGTGTAGCAATCTGTAACCAATGATTGCAGTTTCTATATTATGCCCTCCAGTGGAAATGGACAACTGTAGAGTGAGGAGTCCTCCCTTCTAAACTCTCCTATGAAAGCCTGTCCAACTTATAACAGATTCTGGAATACTCCCACTTTTGTTGGTGTGTTTTCCTGGGCCCATCCTCACATTTGGGTTCCAATAAAACTTTATTAATTTCCTTCCTTCCTTCCTTCCTTCCTTCCTTCCTTCCTTCCTTCCTTCCTTCTGAAACAGGAGAGTTCCCTGACCCCCCTCACAGAATGTGCAACAGGGGTTTGGCTCATTTATTTGGACACCATGTGCTCAAAACCCTTACAGGAGGGGAAGCATGCAGGTGAGCAGGTGCAGGAGCCAAGGCGAGTGCTTTTGGGCTCCAGTCCCATGGCAGTGTTTAGGTGTATTACAATGTTCTTTTAGCCCTGCCGTCTGGGGATTGCTTGAGTGTTAAACAGTTCAGTGAAGAGTCAGTGTGACAGCCTTTTTGGATTCCTGCACCTAGTGCGTCCCAAATTCTAGTCCAATGTCCAGGAAGAATCAGGTCACAAGGGCTTGAAGGATGGAGAATGTAGGGATTTTATTGAGTGATGTAGGTGGCTCTCAGCAGGATAGGGAGCTGGAGAGGGGATGGAGTGGGAAGATAATCTTCTCCTGGAGTTCAGCCATCCCACAGCCGATCTCTTCTCTGACCACCCCTAGCCGAACTCCTCTGGATGTTCAGATGCTTCCTCTCTTTTCTCCTTCTGTGTCGTACCACTCTGCTGCTCTTTTCCTCACGAATCCTGGGGTTTAGGGGTTTATATGGACACAGGATGGGAGGTGGGGGCATGGCGGGCCAAAAGGCAACATTTGGGCATGAAAACAGGAATGCCTGTTCTTATTTAGGGCCTCGGGTTCTCAGGCTTGAGGGTGGGGCCTTTGCAGGGGAACAGCCCTCTTCTACCCAGTATTTCCCTGCCTTCTGTTCATTTCCCTCCCTCCCTCCTTTCTTTCTTTCCTTCCTTCTTTCCTTTCTTCCTTCCTTCCTTCCTTCCTTCCTTCCTTCCTTCCTTCCTTCCTTCCTTTTCTCTCTCTTTATGGCAGGTTTTTCTCTGTCACCCAGGCTGGAGTGCAATCATAGCTCACTCCAGCTTTGAACTCCTGGGTTCAAGTGATCCTCCTGCCTCAGCTTCCTGAGTAGGAGTAGCTAGGACTGCAGGTGTGCACCACTGCACCTGGCTAATTTTTTTTCCCTATTTTTGTACTTTTAATTTTTTGTTAAAACAGGGTCTTACCATATTGCCCAGATTGGTCTCCAACTCCTGGCCTCAAGTGATCCTCCCACCTCAGCCTCCCAAAGAGCTGGGATTACAGGCATGAGCCACTGTGCCTGGCTTCAAATTATTTCTGCCTTAGCAGCTTTAATTTCTATTAACAGGGGAAAGAACAAAACACACATTAGGAGCTCAATCAATTAGCTGCTTTGGCTAATGTTTTGTTTCTTTGTGAATGGACACAGGAATGAAGAGAATCTGAACTAAGATGGGGTGAAAGTAGGAAATCATTCCCCCATGTCAAGTGCAAGGGCTATCCAGTTAGAGGCCAACACAGATGTCTGATCAAAGGTAAAAGTCTTTGTGTGCTTGCAACAAGGGAAGTTGTCTAATAGGGTCTGAAGACAGAAAGTCCTGTGGTTGTGTCCTGCCCTTCTCCTGCCACACTGGGCCTGCCTTCAGCAGCAATGTCCCTTGGTGGTTGTCCGCCCTCTGCCACCTGCCTTCATTTACTCTTGCAGTGGGGTTTATTTACTCTCACTATCATTTGGATATACAAAGAAATTTTAATTCCCTTATTTTTCAGACATCAACCTGACCTTCCTTATCAGCACTTGGTAATGATGGTGCTGACAGGTAACACAGTACAATCCAGTTAAACCCTTCATCTGATTCAATCGTTTAACTTTTTTTTGAGGTTTAATTTAGGATTTTATTATATTTTACCAGTCTTTTAGATTCCACTCTGCTGCTTTCCAGTATGGTGCAGAGGGAATATAGTTCCTGAGGAGAGGTGCCCATGACTGCCAGGTTTTGGAGGAAGGGGTGGCCTAGCCTCATATTGGTTCTTGGGGCATTCTGGCTGGCATCTGCTGAGGGATGTTTGGTGTGCCCCTATCCCTGGTCATTCTATGGTATCCACCCATGACAACTGTGGCCGCTAATCTCATGGTCTATTGTTTCTCAGACTTGGTCAGGGCCTGGCCAGCTTGCCCCAAACATTTGCAAGGCTGGGGGCAAGGCTGCTATGATATATGAATACCTAAAAGTTAGCAATCAAGCTGACACACTTTTAAATATGTTCCATTCCTTTACCTTGACAAATATATCTTTATAATGACAAAATTGAAAAATATGTTTAAAACTATAGCTTTTGTAAATTGGAAAGTCAGTAAAATATTGACAAATTTATTTATAATTATACATCTGAGTGTTCTGTTGATGGGTTGATATTTACATGACATACAATGAATACATAATTCAATGAATTTTGTTATATATTTCATTGATTTATTTTTCTTGATTTCATTTTAGCACAATCATTAATTACATTTTTATGATCAAGATTTTCATAATTTGGTTCCATTCATAGTAATGCCAAATGAGATAACATTTCCTGAATCATTATACTTTGTATATATTTTCCCTTAGTTTCAATCTGGAGAAATCTTGCTTTGCAGAATGTTTAGCAAACAGAATTGTCAATAAAAATTTTAAAGCAATATTTGATTTGGAATGAATCCATGACTTTTTTATGCATGTTGAAACATTGTAATGGAATTGTTGTATAATGATATAATAAAATTGTTGCTGAAGATATCATTATCAATTATTCAATTTCATCTTATTAATATCATTACTTACACCATGAGTAAGGTGGTCATCACCAGGTCTTTTGTTCCATATAGTTTATCTTCAGTTTTTCTTCTTTCAACTTTTGAATTCTTAGATAATTATATTTTTAAAAATGAAAATAGCTATGCTCTGCTCAAAATGTTCAGATCTCTCTTTAGTGAAAACTATGCCTTGATCCATAAGGGCCAAAAATGTTGCCTATAGAAATAGTTTGGAGATTATTTCTACATAAATCTTCTTCACAATCAAGCAGTTTTGTTTCCTTATTTTAATTTTATTTTTAATTGAAGTGTTACAATTTTCTACATTTCACATGCAGCCTGTTTCAATTTAGGCAAACTGTATTTTTCCAAAATTAAAAAAGTTTTGATCCTTTAAAAAATAAAATAACCAAAGTTAAGTTTTTGTTTGTGCTAATATTTATAGCAAGCAACAGTTCCAACCACATTCCATGAACAGTGCAAATTAAAAATGAATTTCATGTTTGTACAAAGCAATTCACTTTTTTTTTTTTTTTTTGACGGAGTCTTGCTCTGTTGCCCAGGCTGGAGTGCAGTGGTGTGATCTCAGCTCACTGCAACCTCCACCTCCTGGTTTCAAGCAATTCTCCTGCCTCAGCCTCCTGAGTAGCTGGGATCACAGGCGCATGCCCACCATGCCTGGCTAATTTTTTGTATTTTTAGTAGAGATGGGGTTTCACTATGTTGGTCAGGCTGGTCTCAAACTCCTGACCTTGTGATCTGCCTGCCTCGGCCTCCCAAAGTGCTGGGATTACAGACATGAGCCACCACGCTGGGCTCAATTCATTCTTTATATGAGCATCTTCTCTTGAGCGTCTTGTGTTGATTTACTTAACATTGTATGTACTAAAGTCGTTGTAATATCAAAGTTAACATGCGTTTCACCAAGATTTTTTCCCTCCTTTAGGCCAATCTAGAAAATACTGTATACGAGCTATGATTTTTCTCGAGAATATCATTGCCATGACACAGTTGAAGTCCTGCATCCCATGAGTCATACACATCTGTTGTGAATACTGATCTTGTCCTTGAGCTCCCCTGGGATTCCAAATTGGAACATAAAGAGAAGCAAGAAAATGGACATTTAGCACTTATAGGATAATTCTATTGTATTCCTGCTGAGAGAAAGAATTTCATACACCGAGTGCTTCTTCTGCTTGAAGCCCCTCTGCTTTGAAGTGGTGCGATCTCCCCTTTTAACCTCAGCAGTGGGGCCACCTCAACCCATAACAGCACTGAGAAGCAGTCATCTTGTTTTGAGATCACAAAGTATGTGAGGTGTATCCCTGGCATCTGGACGGTGCTAGTCACGAGAGTAGATGTTAGGTTGCGGGCATGCCATGCCAGCCCCGGGCACTGGATCACAAGCATTGGAGATGGCCATGTGTTTTTTTGTTTTGTTTTGTTTTGGTTTTTGAGACAGAGTCTCGCTGTGTCGCCCAGGCTGGAGTGCAATGGTGCGATCTCTGCTCACTGCAAGCTCTGCCTCCTGGGTTCACGCCAATCTCCTGCCTCAGCCTCCTGAGTAGCTGGGACTACAGGTGCCCGCCACCAGGCCCGGCTAATTTTTTTGCATTTTTAATAGCAACAGGGTTTCACCATGTTAGCCAGGATGGTCTCGATCTCCTGACCTCGTAATCCGCCCATCTCGGCCTCCCAAAGTGTTGGGATTACAGGCGTGAGCCACCGCGCCCGGCTGCCCATGTGTTCTTATCCCACAAAACCATCCACATAGGCACTTGGCTTTTTATGACTCTGGGAGAGTGTCATTGGAAGAATTAGGTGGATTCACATGTTCCAGTTTTTCATTCCTACGTTCCGTATAAAATACGATTATATTTGCTTGGTTGTGTATACTATTTTTGATAATTACTTTATTTATTTATTTATTTATTTTACCTTAAGGTCTGGGATGCATGTGCAGAACGTGCAGGTTTGTTACACAGGTATACATGTGCCATAGTGTTTGCTGCACCTATCAACCCGTCATCTAGGTGTTAAGCCCCGCATGCATTAGGTATTTGTCCTAATGCTCTCCCTCCCCTTGCCCCCCCACCCCCCAACAGGCCCCAGTGTGTGATGTTCCCCTCCCTGTGTCCATGTGTTCTCATTGTTCAACTCCCACTTATTAATGAGAACATGCGGTGTTTGGCTTTCTGTTCCTGTGTTAGTTTGCTGAGAGTGATGGCTTCCAGCTTCATCCATGTCCCTGCAAAGGACATGAACTCATGATAATAGTTTTATATGATTTCATTCTGAATATTTTATTTTTATTCCTTATTTAACCAATGTATTCGCCCGAGTGTGTATGTGGGTGTGTATGTGTGTGTGTGTGACATGCTGTGCCTGCTAAAATATGGGGCCTGAGGCACTTGACCTTGGGTGCCTCTTGTCCAGGTCTAATTAGGGTCAGGACTGGGACCTGGGACCTTCCCCAGGGACTCAGCCTGCTCCTTCCCTTAAAGATGCTGCAGACCCTTCCAAGTGACTGCTGTGTCCCAGGCTAGACACCCTGCAGCCTCACCTTTGGGCTCACCGTATTCTCTGCCCCAATGGCTTCTCTGGCTCTCAATCCAGTGTGAATTCCATATGGAAATCAGGGATGGCTCGGGTATGCAAACTAGACCATCCCTCTGCTTGGCCACAACATTCTTCCCTCCTAACTATGGTGGGACCCACCCCAGTTGGTAAGCGTCACCCTCTATACAACAGCACCTGGTCCCCAGCATTCAAAAGGCCACCTATGCAGAAGTCTCGGGATGGCGATAGCAAGGCAAATATATCTTCTCTTTCCTCTCTTCTGTCTGATGTTCTCTTTCCACTGTCTCTCTGAGTAGCAAGGAGTGGAATTTTGTTATTTTCCTAATAAAAAATGTTATGACCTACTCAGTTGGCTTAGCCCTTGAAATGTTAAATATGAGCGCTAAAGAAATCTAGAAAATCTTTTTGTCCTCAAGAGTGCTATCCTTTTAGGCCGATTTTCTACAGTTAAACTTCATATCTGTTGTCAGAAATGAAATAGTGATTCTTCATTCATTCCTCCATTCTCTGATTCTTTCTGTAGCAATGCTTCTCCAGCTCGAGAGCACATCATCACCTGGAGAGCTCATGAAAACAGATTGCTGGGCTTCATCCTCGAGTTTCTGATTCAGTAGGGCAGGGTGGGGACTAAGAATATTCATTTCTAATGAGTTCCAGTGGTGCTGATGTTTCCAGTCCAGGGATCACCGGTGGAGACCCATTAGTCTATGCCATCCTAGTCCCACCCGCCTGACACCTCATGCTCACCAGAAGGACACCTTGGGCTGACCAGAGAGGAGGGTTTCTGTGTGAGAAGGTAAGATAGAAAGGCACATTGAGTTTTACTTTTACCACTCTTAACAAACTCACTGAAAAGCACCAGATCCAACTACCTGCTTATTTCAGTTGAGTATAGTTTAACAATATGAAATTTAAGAGAAACCATCCTTTCTGCTTTGCATCTGGGATCTGCCTGTTTCCAAGACACAGATACCTTCTTTGCTTAACTGAGATTTCTATTGACATGTTCTTTCACCATGATAATTTATCATACTGTAATTTTTTTTAATTTCAGTTTTTTTCTAGGTTTAATTTTAAATTATACTTAAGTGAAATTTAGCACATAGCAAAGACATGGAATCAACCCAAATGCCCATCAATGATAGACTGGATAAAGAAAATGTGGTACCTATACACCATGGAATATTACGCAGCCATAAAAAGGAATGAGATCATGTCCTTTGCAGGGACATAGAGGAATCTGGAAGCCATTATCCTCAACAAACTAATGCAGGAACAGAAAACCAAACACCACATGTTCTCATTTATAATTGGGAGCTGGACAATGAAAACACATGGACACAGGGAGGGGAACAACACATACTGGGGCCTGTTGGAGGTGGGGTGGGGAAGATGGGGAGGGAAAGCATCACGAAAAATAGCTAATGCATGCTGGGCTTAATATCTAGGTGATGGGTTGATAGGTGCAGCAACCACCATGGCACATGTTTATTTACGTAACAAACCTGCACATCCTGCGCATTTAGCCTGGAACTTAAAATAAAACAAAAATTTAGCATAAATGTATGTTCCTGCTTTGGAAGATTTTCTTCCACTTTTTCATGGTAGCAATAGAGCGAAATCATTGATCACTTAATTATGACCCCCTGGGGAGGAAAATGTTAATGAAAATATTTGAGAAAACAAAGAAGCATTTTTCAGATTTGAATGCCAAGTCACAATACAGCCCATCTGGTCTTTTTTAAAAACAGAATTGTGTGCATCACTCAACCTTTCTATGAAAGGCCGTTTGGTGTTTCTGCTTTTAAAGGGATTTGTGTAGGTGAAAAAGACATTTAGTACATTCCACACCAATCTTGCTCTATTTGTTTGAGTAATAATGCACAATTGTAGATCTACAGGCTTTATAAATCACGTAAAACCAGAAGTAGCACTAAATTACTTTGTTTTTCCAAACCTCATTATTAAACTTAGTCTTTTACAGCTTCCTAATTTAAATAGGATCTTCTTTCCTTATTTGGCAAAAGAGGCTGGCAGCAACCATGAAATCCTTCTAACACTGAATGCCGTTGCATCTTCTGATACGATAGATCGTCAATAATTATGAAGATGATTTTGAATCCATTTCTGGTTTTTACCACTGGGTTTTCTTTCCTCCTTTTGTCCCTACAAGCGATTTGTGAATGCATCTCATAAATGCCCTGCTCTCAGCTGCTGAACATTCTCCTGCTGAAAGGCAGGGAGCTAATTAGCACAGCCACCTCGACAGCGTCTGTTCCAGTCACCCCTGCATGCATGCTAGAACACCTTTGAACAATGGATGACAGTCTGCAGAGAGCACAGAGCTCCCGGAGAACATAAAAATGCAATGGAACAGAATGAAGGGATGCAAGTCACAATCGTCTCAACTGCAAGTTGGCCAAAGTAAACATTGCCCCAAAGGTCAGACACGAGGCTGGGTTTACTATCACCTGGCTTCTTATGTATGCATAAAGAGAGAGATTGATATGAGACGCAGGGCGGGAAATTGATAGAGGATGAAAACACACCTGCCCAAGGCATTACTATGGGCAGACAGGCAAGCTAACTTGCTTATGGCCTGCATAGATTATATATCATGTTTGGACCTCATGAAGACATTCTGCATATTTAGAAACATGTCAGGAAATTTGGAGGTGCAAATCTGAAGTTATTTTGATGTCATTAGAAGTTCTACACATTTGCAAAATTCCATAATCCTTTATAAAGTGAACATAAAATAGTGGCTTTCCTATTTTCTTTTAAAGGAACGATGCGGGGATTTTTATCTTCTCAGGGTTAGATTCGATCCAGGATCAAAGTGTCATATTTAAAATGTTTACAATCATGAGTACCTGTCGTGACTTCCTTTCTAATTATCTGTAGGAGATGAGAATCTATTTCATGCCTTGTATGAAAAGATTTCTGTTCATAGCTTTAAATGACCAATTATTTCTTTCTGCACATTTTGGTAATTTTATTTCATGACTTTTGAACACCTTTTATTCTTGAAATTTCTCACCAATATTTGCTTTGAATTAAGTCACAGGGTGCTCATTGTACACCCCAAATCTTCATTTATGGACCCGTTGTCATTGTGACAATCTTACCCGTCGTAAAAAAATTCTAGCAAGAGTCAGTGTGGAATTTACATTATTTAACTTTCAATAGAAGGTATAGGTTTGTAGGTTCTTTTTTAATTTTTGTGAAAAACTTTTGTTAATTTTGAACTAGGTCCCAAATACTCAAAAGAGTGAGGTAAGGAAATGGAAGGAGGGAAGGCAGTGACTCATCAGCCCTCCTGGTTCTGCTCCACAGTGTGGGGGCCCCTCAGGGTGGTCTCATCGGCCGCTTCCCACCCCAGTTCCACTCTGGAGAGGAGTTGGACTTGATCTTTTCTAAATAGAAATGACATTTTGCTTCCACTTAGAGTGTTAAAAGGGGACTTTGTACCCCATGGGACAATGTTAAATAAAGGTGTGAAATTTAGTGTCCCAAGTTAAAAAAAAAAAAAAAAGAAAGAAATGATCAAACTACTGAATTAAAGTCAAAGATTCAGCATTTTTTTTCCTAGTGCCAAAAAAAAAAAAAAAAAAAGTGGTGGGGGAAAGATAGCAAGAGATAATAAAGTCAGGATACAGAACAGAGGGCCTTAGTTTCTGTCCAGAGGGACCACCATCTTTTAATATAGTCACTTAAAAATACATGCATTGCTACATTTTTCATTAGCCTTAATTTTTTCATCAATCATGTTAATTTATACAGAGGGCACTTAATAATAGCTAATTAACACTTATGACTTTTGAAATTAAAAGACCTTTGGAGAGATTACTGCTGATTGGGGAAAGGATTTTTTTTTTGTTCTTTCCTTTTTAGAGAAGAAAGAGAAATAGCAAGAAGGCACAGGGCCTTCATGTGCTCAGAAGAAATTCTCTCTCTTGCTTCACTGATCAGTCAGCAGATGAAAGTGACATCAGCATAAGCAGGTCCAGTGATACTCTGACACCATGCTAGAAAACATGACCCAATTGAGCATTAATGGCTCAAATAAAATAAATAAATGAATGAATAAATACAAATTCAGGATGATCTTTACATAGATTGAGACCAAAATAAAATTTAGAAATGACACAAAATAATGTCGGTGGTTCACACACACACACAAAATAATAATCTGGGGGTAGTTACTATGTTGGAGTAAGATCACATTAAAAATGAGAATTCGCTAAGTTGAAATCATATTGGAATTTTTAGTGAGAAACGAACTGTATAATTACCTAATTCGTCCACAGAGTTTGCTGAGCTGTATTTTCTCTGCGTCACATGAACCAACTGCGCTTGCCTGTATCATTCCTTTGTAACTTACTGCTTCAGGCCATGGTCTTCACATTAAGAAAGTAGATTTTAACTGTGTCCTTTTTAATATCTACAAAATGCCTTTGGTTGAGTACTTGTTTTGTGTTTACAGGATGTGGTGTGTGTACGTATGTATTTATATGTGTATCTATGTCTGTGTATGTATTTATAGACTATATAATCTATATTCTATATATATTATGTATATATATATACATCTGGATAGATAGATGATAGATAGATCGATCGATCGATCTAAATTTTTTATTTTGTCCACCAATAGATGTCTCCCTTCCCTGAGTGAAGGTTTGAATCTACAGGAAGGACTGCCTGAGATTTTTACCAAATCTGGCTTTTGTATGAATGGAGAAATCAAAGTTTAAAAAAGAGGAAAAGCTCAACATAAAGCCTTTCTTACCCAATGCAGTGTTTTAAATGCCTAGTGTGTATTCTATACCCTTCAATTGAAAAATGTTGCATTGGGGCATTTTAATTTTAAGAGGATCGCACAACAGATTCTCATCTCTCTCAGAGGCTTTGAGTGTTTCCATTTTGACTAAAAGTCTACATGAGGCCCAGGATGTGTAATAACTTTCTTGAAGTACCTAAACCAGTCTCTGGGGATGTATGCATTTAAAGGATCTAAAGTCGGCCTGGCACGGTGTCTCATGCCTGTAATCCCAGCACTTAGGGAGGCCGAGACGGGCGGATCACGAGGTCAGGAGATCGAGACCATCCTGGCTAACACGGTGAAACCCCGTCTCTACTAAAAATACAAAAAATTAGCTGGGCGTGGCGGCAGGCGCCTGTAGTCCCAGCTACTCGGGAGGCTGAGGCAGGAGAATGGGGTGAACCCGGGAGGCGGAGCTTGCAGTGAGTGGAGATTGCGCCACTGCCCTCCAGCCTGGGCGACAGAGCAAGACTCCAAAAAAAATAAAAAAAATAAAAAAAAAAAGATCTAAAGTCAATATAGGGAATAAAATGTGTTTCTAAATGTTAACATCTACTTGAAAATTGTACAAATTTAGTTATATGTTGACTCACTACTGATTTTTTAGTTTAGTATGCAAAGAGGTAAAAGACATTTACAAATACGTTTACCATATCTTGAGTTAATGGTAAAGCATTTAGTGCAAGTTGTATATCAGGGGAGAAAATCCACACCTTGGGAAATTAGTCATACCCATGCTGAAAATTTTCTCTAGAAAAAAATTCCAGTGATACAGCCAAATTTTTGAATCATTCTTTTGGTGCCTCTGACATTTTCTTCTCCTTTTTCCTAGTTGCTTCTTCCATTTTCCTTGAGTTGCTTGTGGGGCCTTGGTCTCATCTACTTTATTATCTTCCTTGTAAACTGCTCTTACTTTGGTCTTTAGGAGGTCCTGAATGACTGGTAGAGATTATTAAAGCATCTGTGGCCTGCTCATTGTAGAATATCCCAGTGGGCCAGATGGAAGATTTATTCTGAAATCCCTTGCTATAGCATGGAATATACCTGGAAAAGGTGTTGGCCTAAAACTCACATTTAAAAAATTTTCTTGGTGATCATTTCATGGTGTTCTCATTAACAAAATGTCCTGACGTTATTCTAGCACTATTCTGAGGTGCTTATGGGCTGCAGCTATTTCTTACTGAATCATTTAAATGAGTGAGTCCAAACGTTTCTTCCATGAGGATGCTCCCTACTAGGTAGCTGGGTTTTGAGTTTGGGACTTTCTCATGGGCGACATGGACTGTAGGCTATACCCAACTCCAAGCTATTAGATGTAGTTCTTCCCTTTTCATACAACTGACTGAAAGAAACTAGTGTATCTGACATCATATTAATATATGGAACCACTGATCTAGCGAATTCACTGTCCTCTTTTTATACATGGGGCTGTAGATCTAGAGGAAGTTTAGAGTGAATTACTAGATTATTAGGTTAGTATTTAATGAAATGGCTGTTAACCTGTAGGAGAATCTTATTTTTTTGAGTTTAATCAGTTTTCAAATGAGCAATTCCACTCTTTATCTAGCATTCAAAAAAATTGTGGCATGAGACACATAACATAAAATTTACCATTTTAATCATTTTAAAGTGTACAATTCAGTGGCATTTAGTACATCCACAATGTGTGGTGCAAGCTGCTGTCTAGTTCCAGAATGTTCTCACCATCCCCTAAGAAAACCCCATCTCATCAGCAGTCACTCCCACTACCCCTGCCCTGTACCCCAGCAACCAACAATCTGCTTCTGTCTCTGTGAGTTTGCCTGTCCTAGACGTTTTATATCACACATTGTCTTTTGTGTCTGGCTTCTGTACCTCACATAATGTTTTCAGGATTCATCCTCGTTGGAGCATGTATCAATTCTATATTCCTTTATATGGTCGTGATACTCTGTTGTATGAATATGCCACAATTCATTTATCTACCTTTTGGCTATTGTGAATAGTGATGCTGTGAA
Source organism: Homo sapiens (assembly GCF_000001405.40). Lineage (NCBI taxonomy): Eukaryota > Metazoa > Chordata > Mammalia > Primates > Hominidae > Homo > Homo sapiens. The sequence goes on from NC_000006.12 coordinate 8,334,304, forward strand.
CATTCTTGTGCAAGTTTTTGTTTGAACATGTTTTCGATTCTTTTGAGTGGAATTGCTGAGTCATATGGTAATTCCGTGTTTAACTTATTGGGGAACTGCCACACTGGGGTGCCACTTTTAATTGTAAATGTTTCTTCAGAGAATCATTAATTTAATGTGTGAGAGGTGTCCTATTTAATAAAATTTCAAAGTTGGCCATCTCAGGACCTGTTGTAATAATGATTATCATTATTGCTATTAGTGTAGGATCTGATTCATTTTATAAATGAGCCAGTTGAGGCCCAGATAGCGTAGCTATCTTAGCTTTAGTTTGTAGCTAATAAGTGCTTTGATCAGGACCACAGTCCAAGTCAACTAGTTCAATATCTTTTATATTACCCTATGACATGTGCTAATTTCTTTTTAGCTTTTCGCCGTACTGGCAATATTAGCTCTGAGTCATTCATTTTGGTTGCTTGTGACAAAGCCACCTTTGATGCTGAGGTGACTGGCTAGGGTTTCTTGCTGTTAGACTCAATTGTCTCTAACCATTTGAGCAATTAGTAACAGTATTACCAGCTAACATTTTACAGTTGCTCCCCTCTTCTCAACATCAGCCAATTCTGTGTGCCTTAAGAAAATAATCCTCTTACCTCTCAGATTAAAAATGATGACACTGATGAATCAAAGGGCAATTATTTGTAATTTTGTATTTGCAGTTGGGAAACTATGGTAGTGATGATGTCTCCCTTTGTCATCTTATTAAATTTCAAACTTGCTTTTGCTTATATCCACAATGGGATCAGAATAGTATTTCCATACAAGAAAAAAATATCTTGCTTAGTGAATACCTTGATTTACTAAAAGAACAGAAGGCCAATTTTTCAGATATTTGATACCTAATTTCTAGTAACACTTAGAGCCAATAGGGATGATCAAAGGACAAAACTTCTAGGACAATTTTTCACTTTTAAATAGTGTTATTTAGATAATAAACTTTGCTTTATCTAGCCTTCAGCAGCTTTTATTCTAACATAATTAGTTAAACTAGTTAACCAATTAGGACTAATTTAGTAATTTAGGTACACACCAACTCTAGATGTAATGATCTAATTCCAGCATGCTTCTGAGCCTATCTCCCACTCAGCAAGTTTCTCCTAACACATTTGGGGCTACTTTGTTTAGTAATAGGAAGAAACTAACCTTTTCAGAGGCATTTTTCTTTGGTGGTGAAACTCATTCTCTGCCAGGATGGTTACCCTGGTAACAGAAAACATAGCTTTCTTTCATCATGTATTTACTTGGTGTATTTATTTGGTAAAACATTTTGGCAGCTAATGTACTCAAGAGCTTGTCTGTTTCACAGTCCAGCAAAATATAGCACATGGTATGCAAATATTCTAAATTGAGTCTGAAATTTTCTGAGAATTTCATGATGGTTCCTTAGGGCTGCATTATCTCATACATTAGGCTCCAGCCATATGCGGCTATTTAAATTTAAATTCATTAAAATTAAATAAAATTAAAAATTCAGTTCATCCATCACACTGGCCACATTTCGAGTGCTCAATAGCCACATGTGGCTCGTGGCCACGGCATTTGATGCCGCTGAAATAGAGCGTTTCCATCCTTATGGTACGTTCTATCAGACAATGCTGCTTTAGATAATTGGGGAAAATCAGTTTGGCATCACAGAAGAATGGTTGTTTGTTTCATGGCCTGGAATTCTAGAAAGTCCAGTGAAGGTGGAAGAAACCTTGGAAAATGTCTGAGCTGAGTTATCCAGTCACAGACCTCAGGCACCGTGGATTGGCGGGCTAGTGACTCACCAAGTCCCATAACTGGTTACTGGTAAATATTTGATAATTTTACAGAGTGCTTTTCCATACCACGGCCGCTTAGCAACTGTCCATTAGTGTTTTAAAAGTTAATGTAATGCTAAAGTAGCTTACTAGCTTGTCATCTTTTTTTTTTTGAGGCGGAGTCTCACTCTTGTTGCCTAGGCTGGAGTGCAGTGGCGTGATCTCGGCTCACTGCAACCTCTGCCTCCTGGGTTCAAGCAGTTCTCCTGCCTCAGCCTCCTGAGTAGCTGGGATTACAGGCACCCGCACCATACCCGGCTAATTTTTTTTTTTTTTTTGCACTTTTAGTAGAGACGGGGTTTTGCCATGTTGGTCAGGCTGGTCTCAAACTCCTGGCCTCAGGTGATCTGCCCGCCTTGGCCTCCCAAAGTGCTGGAATTACAGGCATGCACCACCACGCCGGGCTGTCATCCTTCTTTTCTACATTGCCAAGCTCCTTGAGAGACTGCTTTTGCGTTTCCTCTGTGTCTCTGCCCATTTACTCTGGAATTTCTTGATGCAGAGTTTCAACCCTTACTACCACTAAAATTTCTTCTCCAAGGCCGTCAATCACATCTTAGCCACTAAATCCAAAGGCCTAATCTTCTATGTTGCAATTTCTCTGCTTTAATCTTGGAGCATTGAAGAACAGCTGCCTGCACACGCCTTCCTTTCTCTCCTTTCCCTTCAGCGCTGTCTTCTGCTCCACTCTCCTCTCCCTCTTTGTTTCCCTATCCAGTTCCTCCACCTTCCTTTGTCCCTTAAATAGAGCCACTCAAGGACCCGTTGTTTTTCTTATTACTGTTCTCTCTGAACTCTCTCCCTGGGAAAGTTTACCTAATATCAGAGCTTCAGCTGCCTCCAGGTGAGCAGCTCCCCACCTGTGACTCTTATTCTGACCGAGTCTGCTATGAGCCTGGGTCCCACGGCCAGCTGCCCCACAGGAACCCCACACTTAACATGCCAAACCTAACTGGTTATTTTTCTCCTGTAGGCCTCTTTCCACCGGTGCATCCTGTTTTTGTTAAAGACGCCATAATTCTTTGAGCTACCCAGAATTGAAATCTCAGGACTGTCACTGCCTCCTAGAGTGACAAACCATCCTATTTTGTCCGGGATTGAAAGGTTTCCCAGGAGTGGGTCTATCAGTGCTAAAACCTCAAGAGTCCCTGGCCAACCGGGTCAGCTGGCCCCTGCTCACTATTCCTGCTTTCATATCTAATCAGCCCATAATTTGTTTCATTTTCAGTTCCATGACATTTCTCACATCTGTCTCTTTCTCACTGAGGCCTCCCTTGTCCCACACCAGGTTTCTTGTCATCATCTCCTGATTGATCTCCATATACCTCGTCATCCTTCCTTCCACCCATCCCAAGACCCACTACTTGGCCATTCTTCTATAACTCAGCTTAATCATGTCATTTTTTCAACTCAAAAATATTCCCTGAGGACTTGGGGAAGGGACAGAAGGAGGCTGGAAACAAAAGGCAGGCAACTGCTCTGAAGAGCAAAGTAAGAGCAAATGTCCTATGGAAGAACAGAGGTTTGTTTCATTCTTTCTGGGTCCAGAGGTCTCAGGCGTCAAATCATTAGATTTGGGGAATGACTCCAGCCTGCAGTTGCTGGCGTGAGGATTTGGCAAGTGAAGATTTTCCCGCTGACTACCTCCCTCTGCCACCAGCTCTTTGTTGCTTTTCGGGTCTTCTTCCTCCTCCATCATCACTAGCCTTTTTGGGACAAGAGAGCATTATTCTCAGACATTATTTTTCTTGAGGATTTACTTTCCTTTCTCCATATCAAGAAGTAGGAACAGAGAACAGTAAAATACAGATCAATTACACACACACACACACACACAGACACACACACACACAGACACACACACACACAGTTCCCCAGCTCAGCCCTCCACAAAGAATATCCTCTCCCAGTGACAACATTCTTGGACTGGAATTTAATATTGTTCATGGCCCGGGTTTATATGACTTCTGCTGCCTTATCTCAGTCTGCCCTCATTCAGGCCACTGATGCTCTGGCCACTATAAGCAGCTCCCTCTCCTCTGGGATTGTCCTCTGCCTTTCCACACATACGTGTTTGCACATGCAAACACCTTGCAGACTTCTTTGTCTGTTTTTGTCTCACTCCTGTCTCTGCAGGGTCCCAGCCTATCCACGATTCCAATTATAGTTTATGTGAAATCTCTTCGTTGATGTCTAAGCCGCAGATAATAGAAACCATTCTCCCTTTGCACAGGGGCCACAGCCTTTTGAGAGTCTCGATTTTAAGACAACATCATGGCACATTATGTTGTCACTCAAGAGAGGTGAGAAAAGGCTTGGTGCAAGCCCAATACAGAGAGACACCTTTTTACAAAGATGGTTTAACTTTCTCAGCTGCTTCCCAACACAAGTCAGTTCCCATAATCATGTCATTAAAAGAGTTAGGAGAGCTTTCTGATTCTTTGTCTTCCAGAGGTGTTGTCTCGTCCTCTTGTTTTCCAAGACTGACAATGCCACCAACATGTTCTGAAAAAGCAAGTTATTACAAGTTTATATTTCAGTGGAGCTGGTTTCTAACCAGAATGGGCTGGAAAATGTAGTTGCACTTGAAAACTGATTTGTCTAAAGCTGGTTCCATGATTGGACATAATTTCTCTCCTCTAAATTTCCAGATAACTTTACATGCATCTCCTGTGATGTTTCTCATTTCTGATCATGCGTATGCCACTTTCTTCTCTCCACATGTCTTGGGACACTCTTTCTCTGTCTCTTCCTGGGGTTTCTCCTGCCTATTCATTACCGAAAGTTGGAATTTCCAGTGCTGTGCCCTGAGCTTCCACTTCATCTCATTGCCCATGTTCTCGTTCAGCAATTTTGCCCTTGTCCACAACTTCAATTAACATCTGTATATAACAACATCCAAAAGTATATCTTCATCCCTTGCTCTTTTATGCTCACACCACTGTATCTTCCTGCTGAATTTCCTGATATTTCCACTTGAATATCATGTAGCAGCTCAAATTTAACAACTTTAACACTTCACCATCCCCTCTGGATTTACTGCTACTCCAGTGACCACATCTCAGTAAGTGGCATCCCCATTTACCTGGTTTCTCATGCCAGGAACCTGGGACTCATCTTTTCTCAATCAGGTTGCGTGAAGTCCTGTAGATTCTATCTCCTGCAATGTATCTGGACTCCATATCTTCATCTCCACCATCATTATTATCATCTCTCACTTATTCAGAAAAGCCTTTTTTGATTACCCAATATAAAGGAGAATTTCCAATTATATTTTTCATAGGAATTTTTTTTTCATAGAATTTGTCCTCATCTGTAGCCATATACTTACCTGTGTGATGATGAGTGTGTTTCCTCTCCAGCATTGGTCTGTGAGCTTTGTTTACCTTTGTCTACCTACCTCCAGGCCAGGGCTTGTAATATGTATTGAATGAATGAATGAACCTGACAGGAAGCATGCTATGTATTTGCCTATCAGTGAACAGATTTTGCCTCAAAACCTTTGTGCCACAGATAATAATCAATAAAAATCGAATTGTCAAATGCAGAGAACAACAATAATGTATTTATGAGGTTAGTTGTACATCTCCATATTTGCTTAATAACCTATAGGGAATGGCTTGGAGCTTTAGGGTTATCTTTTCCTTTGCTTAAATAACATTTAACAAAATTCCTAGTTAGAACAAAGCCCATATTTGTAGTCTACAATTCCCCACATATTGAGTCCCATAAATTGGCAAATGATAAAATTTAAAGAAACACAAATAGAGTCTCGAAAAATTCACAAAGGTGAGCATGATATAATGATGAGTTGTTTCCTGTTTAAGTTTTGTATGGAACATATGTTCCTTCTGCTTGCCCATTGCCGGTCCTAGTATTTGGCTCAGAAGGGCTGCCAGTCATTAGCCCATGCTCCTCTGGGGTGGTCCAAAATCCATTTGAAGTCCGTTTCTCTTTTCCAGTAAAAGAAAAATCTTGACCAAAGATTGTTTCTGGAAAGAGATTGGTGCTTGTCATCCAATAGCAATGCCCTCCAGCAATGTTCTATGCTTTTCGTAATTTTTCAGTTCTTCCTCTAATTCTGTAAATGATAAGGAACCATTTCATGGGACCTTTTTTCTTGTTAAAGGTTGACAGTTAATTTCTGTTGCTTGCAACAGAAGAAACACCCAAATATTCCTAATCATTGTTTTCTGCACTAATAATTATAATAATAGCTAACTTTGATCAATCAGTTACTATGTACTAGGCACTGTTCTAAGTTCTTTACATGTATATGTAAAATATGTACTGACATGCATGTGCAGCCATTTTATAATTATATCAGTGTTGGAGGATATACTCAATAAAAATCTCATAACTAAAATTACTACTAATTTAGGATTAGTGACTGACTAAACACAATCTGGCTTTTTTTATTTAGGTCTTTAATAAAAAATGAAATAAGAGCAAGTATATAGGAGAAAACAGCTAACATAACTAAGGGGAAAAAAACCCTGTTTCTAATTATCTTCACAGTCTCTATTTGCATAGAAAGGACACAGACAGATTACATATTCATTTTAATTTTTATTGAGTATTATGTGCTTGGAGTATTGTAAAGATTCACTGAAGAGTACTTCTGCCTTCGAGGAACTTGTGTCTAGTAGACAAGCTTACCCAAACACAAGCAATTATAAGAAGGATGAGGAAGAGTATTTAATTATATTCAATATTACAGTGTTCATAGTAACAACGAGAGGCAGGAATTATTATTTTTCCATTTGCAGATGAAGATTATGAGGCTCAGAAAGGCTAAGTAACTTTTCTAAGGTCACAAAATTAGTTAATGATTGAGCCAATATTCAAATATTCACTTGCTTTGTGGACGTCACAATGAGATTTCTAACTGCAATAAGTGGAGGATGTTAAGGGTTAGTTCTCACTTATAAGTGGGAGCCAGACATTGGGTAATTGTGGACAAAAAGATGGCAACAATAGGAACTGGTGACTCCTAACTAGAGGGGTGAGAGGGGAAGGGAGGGGCAAGGGCTGAAAAACTACCTATTGGATCCTGTGCTCACTCTCTGGGTGATGTCAGACATTTCTCACATCTGTCTCTTTCTCACTGAGGCCTCCCTTGTCCCTCACCAGGTTTCTTGTAATCGCTTCCTGATTGATCTCCATATACCTCGTCATCCTTCCTTCCACCCATCCCAAGAGCCACTACTGGGTAGTGGTAACTTACTCATGGGGTTGTTGTCTAGATTAAATGAGTTAATACAGATAAAGAATAATGACTGGCACATGGGAAGTGCTAAGTAAAGATCAGTTATCATGGTTTATTCACTCTTTCTGAAAAAATTTTACCCAAAGACATATACTGGCCAGGCGTGGTGGCTCACACCTGTAATTCCAGCACTTTGGGAGGCCGAGGCAGAAGGATCCCCTGAGGTCAGGAGTTCCAGACAAGCCTGGCCAACCAACATGGTGAAAACCCATCTCTACTAAAAATGCAAAAATTAGCTGGGCATGCTGGTGCATGCCTGTAGTCCCAGCTACTCAAGAGGCTGAGGCAGGAGAATCACTTGAACCCAGGAAGTGGAGGTCATAGTGAGCTGAGATTGCGCCACTGCACTCCAGCCTGGGTGACAGAATGAGACTGTCTTAAAAATAAATAAATAAGTAAGACAGATACCATTATCTAGTCTATAGAGATGCAATCAAACTAAAGAATTCTAGAAGGGCAACTATATATACACACAAACATAAATATTTCCTAAATGAAAAACCAAATAATAAAACTAGAAAAACATAGTTAAGTATATTTTAATGCAGTTATACAATTTAATTAAAATATAAGCTAATTATTGAAATAGAAGATCTATAATATACATTAGAGAATTATCTAAGTCTAAAATTCCAAATTATTTGACAACCTGGAAGTACATAAAATGGTGGGACAAGAGAAACTAAAAAGTTTTTAAGTTTCTCACTTCACATTTTTGACAATTAGAAATAAATAGGTTCAAATACAAATTTTAGAAAAATAAGATGTACTCCATCCATAAAGAAAGAGATGTACCTTCAATAATCATAGTATTTGCCTCCCATAAATGAGATAAATTAATATATAGTCCTTCTCTAACATAGATGTTTCCCAGATGTCTAACAGTGGTCTAACCTTTTTTATTTTTACAGTGCTCCCAAAGCTTGCTGGCACATAAACATGAATGAATGAACAATGTAGAATTCACTCAAGAAATTTCAAGGAGAGAGAGGAGGAGATTTACATCACACAGCAAACAACCTAATAAATCTGTTAAACGCCATGCATGTGAATAGGCGTTTTCCTCTTTTTGACCCTTTCTTTCCACATAGAACTCAGTGCTCCTTCCTCGTCCTCCGTTACAGTATTTATCGCCTTCCTTCTTCCACGCCGGGGAGCAGTCGAGGCTTGTGTTCTTCAGCGGACTTGCCAAATCATCCCCTCCAGCATGCTGCTCTCTCCCTTCCACAGATCATCTGTTAAGAAAATACATTTTTCATGTCGTTAATTTACATATACATGTGCATTATATATATGTTTATACAATGAGAGATTGTTAGGAAAATCACTACCACATATACATGCATTATATATATTACATATACATACATATGCATTATATATATACCTGCACACACATGCATATGGAAAATTGTTAGGAAAAACAGCACAGTGGTAGTGTTAGTGCTGGTTGTCTTTCGGTGGTGAGATTATACATTTTTTTCTATAATTTTCTGTATTTTCCTAATTTTCTGTGATCCATATATGTTTTTAATCATCAAAAGATGTTGAAATTTAAACCATGTTCTACGTACATTTTACATCCCCATTTAAAGCTTTCTCATGGTTCTCCATGGCCTGCAGGATGATGCTTGATGTTCAGCTTAAGAGCTTCCTCTCCTCACTTCCCACCCCTCTGTCACTTGTAGCTCATGCCCTAATAATACCAGAGTGTTTCCTGTGCACACCCAGCTGATTCACGTCTCTTTGTCTTTGCTCACATGTCTACCTCCACCTGGAAGATAATTTCCCTTCCCCTGGCGACCTTCACACCACCCTTCTCTCCTCAGAGCAGGCACAGCTGCCCAGGAAACATTTCTGGTTGAGCCTTCCATGGGCCCTAACTGCATTTTACCCTGAAGATGAAATGATCTGTGCTTCTGTCTACCCTCCTTTCTGGACGGTAAGTTCCCAAAGGGCAGAAGCCACATTTTACTATCTTCATATCATAGCTTCTAGAAGGTTCTGCCAACATGATACAAGCTGCAAAAATCGAACTAAACTCAAGTGACACTAGAAGTAAAAGACCTCTGGTCCACAGCGAATATATAAAGTGGATAAAGAAGCTTTCTCTCTATTCTATGCATGTTCACAACACTACTTTGACTAAATATTCAAATTGGGACTGCCAAGCACCAAGACCTAAAAATATCTGTCTTTTGAGAGACAAAACAGATACTACTAGTTGAAAATAATGTCCCCGTGCTGTGGCTCTTTGGTATAAGAGCCCCTGCCATTAGCTCTATTAATGACAAGCAAGGGAAGAGCTGGGAAGGATGTCACATGTGAACTCATGGAATCTTAAACTTCCCTTCCAGTGCACTTAGGAGAGTATTCTTAGCCAAAACTGCTGAGTACAGATAAAATAGTTTGCTGCTCTTTAAATCACCCTAATCTTGAAAGCAATTAACCGTGCTTTGATAATTGAATTGATTTTTCCTTCCTCATTGAGGAGCATGGACATCGGCTAGGGAACTGAAGAAAAATCTCTTGAATATCATTAAAATTAGCTGTATTGAACAGCTTAGCATATATTTCAAATTTTTTTAAAATAGTGAACTTATAAAGCCAAGGAAACATTAGGAAAAAAATGAAATGCCATCAGGTGTGCTACTACCTTATAATGCCATAGATGAAAAGAAATGAATAATTCTGAACAATTTTTAAATACAGGAAAAGTGTAGTTTTTTCCCTACATTCATGTATAACTCAAATGTAGTTCAAGAAATTTGGCTCAGGCTTTTCCAGGATAGTTGCCTTTGAGCTGAGACAAAGAAGGAGATATTTCAGTAGAATGGCACTTATTGTTGAATGGATCAGGACTGTTGGAATGGATGGTGCTTATCAACACAGCATTGCTGTAAAAATGCTTAACTATACACATAGACATTCTGTTGCCACAATGGGCTCAAATGAGACGCCATAGAAGTTATGATTATCATTATTATTATTGGTAAGATTACAAGAGATTGTGGCTTCATGCAAAACCTTCCAACATTCAGGACATCCAAGGTGGGGTTCTTGGCAGAAATATTGGTCCAGGAAGAGCCAGCTGCTCTTGGGAGATCCTGCTGCTCTTTGGATACATGTTTTTTACTCCCTGGGTTTGCTCAAGTCTACTCAGAATGATGTGTGGTATCCTTTAAAGGCACTTCCAGGCTACTTTGGTTTCCTGTCTTTGTTTCCTAATAAAACTTTCTTCTGACATTAATTCAGAATTCCACTCATTCAGAATTCAGAAAACTAGGAAGGTTAAACAGCCTGGCTGCTTTTCCACTGAAACATGTGATGATAATTCATCTTCATAACCTCAGCCCTGAGGCATGAACAAACCATGAAATACTTCATTGACAGGCAGCAAAGCAAGATCTTAGGGCAAGTTTTGGTGCTAAGGAGAGATTTTTGATTTTTTTAAATTGGTAATCTTCAGATGGTATAAAATTGTCATTTGTATTATTCAATCAACCGGATTCTCTGATGCCCAGTGATTCTAGAGAAATAATTACTTGTCATACCAATGTTAGAAATTTCATTCTAAAAGTTGAATTGCCTGGCTGTTGAATATGAAAGTATACATTAAGGAATCCAATATAAATTCTCAAAATTAAGTGAATTTTCTGAATTATTTTAATTGTTTACAAGAAAGATATAATTTAGGGGCAACTCTTGAATAGCAGGGTATCTTTCAAGGACTGCATAAAAATAGTTCAGTATTTATACTCATTTTCTAAATACATTTTCATTTTCATTAAAAAAATGTACTTAGTGATATGGTTTGGCTGTTTCCCCACCCAATGTCATCTTCAGTTGTAGTTCCCATATCCCCATGTGTTGTGAGAGGGACCTGGTGGGAGGTAATTGAATCATGGGGGCAGTTCCCCCATGCTATTCTCATGATAGTGAGTAAGTTCTCTTGAGATCTGATGGTTTTATAAGGGGCTTACCCCTTTGCTTGATTCTTGTTTTCTCTCCTGCCACCCTGTGAAGAGGTACCTTCTGCCATGATTGTAAGTTTTCAGAGGCCTCTTTCCTTTATAAATTACCCAGTCTCAGGCAGTTCTTTATAGCAGCATGAATATGAGTTAATACAGTAAATTAGTACTGGGTGGTGAGGCACTGCTGTAAAGATACCCAAAAATGTGGAAGTGACTTTGGAACTGGGTAACAGGCAGAGGTTGGAACAGTTTAGAGGGCTCAGAAGAAGACAGGAAGATGTGGGAAAGTTTGGAACTTCCTAGAGACTTCCTGAGTGGCTTTGACTAAAATGCTAATAATGATATGGACAATGAAGTCTAGGCTGAGATGGTCTCCAATGGAGATGGAGAACTTTTTGGGAACTGGAATAAAGGTGACTCTTGCTATGTTTTAGCAAAGAGACTGGTGGCATTTTGCCCTTGCCCTAGAGATTTGTAGAACTTTGAATTTGAGAGAGATGATTTAGGGTATCTAGTGGAAGAAATTTCTAAGCAGGAAAGTGCTCAAGATGTGACTTGGGTGCTGTTAAAAGCATTCAGTTTTGTGTATTCACAAAGATATGGTTTGGAATTGGAACTTATGTTTAAAAAGGAAGCAGAGCATAAAAATTTGGAAAATTTGCAGGCTGAGGATGCAATAGAAAAGAAAAACCCATTTTCTGAGGAGAAATTCAAGCCAGCTGCAAAAATTTGCATAAGTAATGAGCCAAATGTAAATCACCAAGACAATGGGGAAAATGTCTCCAGGGCATGTAAGAGACCTTTGCAGCAGCTCCTCCCATTATAGGCCTGGTGACCTAGGTGGAAAATATGTTTTCCTGGGCTTGGCCCAGGGTTCCCCTTCTGTGTGCAATCTAGGGCTTTGGTACCATGTGTCCCAGCTGCTCTAGCCATGGTTAAAAGGGGCCAAGGTACAGCTTGGGCTGTGGCTTCAGAGGGTACAAGCCCCAGGCCTTGGCAGCTTCCACATGGTGTTGAGCCTGTGGGTGCACAGAAGTGAAGAATTGAGGATTAGGAACCTCCAACTAGATTTCGGAGGATGTATGGAAATGCCTGGATGTCTAGGCAGAAATTTGCTGCAAGAGTGGGGCCCTCATGGAGAACCTCTGCTAGGGCAGTGTGGAAGGGAAATGTGGGGTTATGTGAGGACACAGAGTCCCCACTGGGGCACTGCCTAATGGGACTGTGAGAATAGGGCCACCATCCTCCAGACTCCAGAATGGTAGATCCACCAACAGCGTGCACTGGGCACCTGGAAAAGCCACAGGCACTCAATGCCAGCCTGTGAAAGCAGCTGGAAGGGGGACTTTACCCTGAAAAGCCACAGGGGTGGAGCTACCCAAGGCCGGGGAGCCCACATCTTGCTTCAGTGTGGTCTGGATGTGAGACATGGAGTCAAAGGAGATTATTTTGGAGTTTTAAGATTTAATTACTACCTAGTTGGATTTCATACTTGCATGGGGCCTGTAGCCTCTTTGTTTCAGCCGTCTCTTCCATTTAGAACAGGTGTGTTTACCCAATGCCTGTACCTCCATTGTATCTCAGAACTAACTAACTTGCTTTTGATTTTACAGACTCATAGGCCAAAGGGACTTGCCTTGTCTCAGATGAGACCTTGGACTTGGACTTTTGGGTTAATGCTGGAATGAGTTGAGATTTGGGGGACTGTTGGAAAGGCATGATTGTGTTTGGAAAGGCATGATTGTGTTTTGAAATGTGAGGACATGAGATCTGGGAGGGGCCAGAGGTGGAATGATATAGTTTGGCTGTGTCCCCATCCAAATCCAAATCTCATCTTGAATTGTAGTTCCCATAACCCCCACATGTTTTGGGAGGTGGGGGGTAACTGAATCATGGGGCGGTTCCCCCATGCTATTCTCATGATAGTGAGTAGGTTCTCATGAGATCTGATGGTTTTATAAGGGGCTTCCCCCTTCCACTTGGTTCTCATTCTCTCTCCTGCTGCCTTGTGAAGAGGTGCCTTCCGCCATGATTGTAAGTTTTCTGAGGTCTTCCAGCCATAGGGAACTGTGAGTCAATTAAACCTCTTTCCTTTATAAATTATTCAGTCTCAAGCAGTTCTTTATAGCAGCGTGAAAATGAACTAATACACCTAGCACGCATTTATTGGGCATTTACTCTATGCACCACACTGTAATAGCTATCTAGGAAGGAAAGATAAATGAAGCAAACAAAAAGATTTTCATTGCATTTTTGTCCATGGCAGGCACTGTGTAGAGTGTGGCATCAGGTAGACAAGAGCATCAGCTTTACTGTTCATTATCTGGGTGACCTTGGGCACATTACTTGACTAGCCTTGGAATCAGCATCCATAACATGAGTATAATAATACTTTACCTCATAGGACTTCAGGTAGAATGAAATAGGATAATGTACCTAGAGTATTTTATATAATGTCTAACACATGGGGTTTAAATGAAGGCTAATATTATCTCATTTAATGTAGTCATCATGACAATTGATGCCCCCTTCTCTCTTCCATGCACTATTATTTTCTCTACTGCATTAATCCTCTATAATGTATCGATATTCAAACCTTCAGTATTTCTCCCATCTGAAAGGAACTTTGCCTTGACTCCACTTTTCCCAGCTACTGTCCCACTCCTCTGCTTCTCTTTACAACTGAAACTCTTTAAAAGAGGCTCCAGTGGTGAGCTGCAGTTGGGTTAAGAAAATAAGTAGATCCCAAAAAGTATGAGTTCCTGTCCTTTGTAGGACATGGATGAAGCTAGAAACCATCATTCTGAGCAAACTATTGCAAGAACAGAAAACCAAACACCGCATGTTCTCACTCATAGGTGGGAATTGAACAATGAGAACACTTGGACACAGGGCAGGCAACATCACACACCGGGGCCTGTCATGGAGTTGGGGGTAGGGGGAGGGATAGCATTAAGGGAAATACCTAATGTAAATGATGAGTTAATGGGTGCAGCAAACCAACATGGCACATGTATACCTATGTAACAAACCTGCACATTGTGCACATGTACCCTAGAACTTAAAGTATATATATAAAAAAAGAATTTTAAAAAAAGAGAGAAATAAAATAAGTGGATCCCAAGCTTGACAGACAGAAAGCGTGGTCACAGAAGCAGCTCAGATCAGCAGATGGGACTAGATACACACATATTCGTGCACATGTAGATGCAGCACACGCACACACATACACACACACATGCACCATCCACGTACACGAGCTGAGGAACAGGATGAAGAAAGTACATTGATGGTGTCAAGGGCTGTGAAAATATCAAGGTGCATAAAACGTTCAAGAAAACTCTTGGCTTTATCAATTAAGAGATGATTAGTCACTCTACAAGGAAATCTCAGTAAAGAGAGAATATGAGAAAACATATACCAGATGGCTTTTATCACCTCAGTGATTCCTCTCTTTTCATTTTCTCTTAAATTTCACACAAGTACGCTTTCCTTTTAACATTCTAGTAAAGCTGTTCTCATTAAGGTCACTGATAACCTCGACATTACTAAATCCAATGGCCAGTTTTCAGACTTCATCCTGTATCATCAGTGACATTAGCTGACCATTCTGTAGTCCTTGAAACACTTTCTACACTCAGCTTTCAAAATATCACTCTCCTTGTTTTCTTCTTACCCCACTGACAACTCCTTTTCTGGTTCCTCCTCATACCTCTTTCCCTTAATGTAAGAATATTCCAGGGCTCAGGCATAGCTCTTCTCTCCTCTCCCCTTCCCTCATTTTTACCATCCCTTCCCTTTTTACTACCCTCCTTATCTCTTCTTTCCACACTAAGCTTCATGTCTTCGAATGCAATTTATATGCTCATTAACTCCCAAATCTGTATTTATAGCACAAATTACTCATTGATTCCAGATTCACATATTCCACTGCCTACTTGACATCTCCATTTGGAGGTGTTTTAGGCAACTCAAACTTAACATGTACAAAACTAAACTGATGTTGCTACTCATTCATTGTTGCCTACATTTCCATTAGTGCTAGCTCTGTTCCTCCAACTACTGAGTCCAGAAATCTTGGCATGATTGTTTTTGCTTCTATTTATTTCATACCCTATATGGTGGTCTTAAAATATGCCCACTATTTTTTATACTCCTCCCTTCAAATAGTGGAGCCTAATTTCACTCCCCTTGAGTGAGAGTTGGTCTTATTAACTTGTCTCTAATAAAAAAATAAAATGGAAGTGAAGATGTACAACTTTGAAGACTAGGTTGTAAATGACACTGTGACTTCCTTTTTGTTTCTCTTTTCTCACTCTGACTGTGTTAGTATGCTCTGGCTGCCATAATAAAAGCTTCTGGGTGGCTTAAACAACAAATTTTCTCACAGTTCTGGAGGCTAGGATTCCAAGATCAAGGTCCAGCATGATCAGTTTCTGGTGAGGGTTCTCTTCCTGGCTTGCAGATGCCACCTTCTCACTGGTGGAGAAAGAGAACAAGCTCTCTGGTGTCTCTTCTTTAAAGGCACTTATCTTATTGGATCAGGACCCCATTCTTATGAGCTCATCTAACCTTAATCACATCCCCAAAGGCCTTATCTCCAAATACAGTCACATTGGAGGCTGGGGTTTCAATATATGAATTTTGGGGTTGGGGGACATCCACGTATTACACCATAACACTGGGGGAAGTTAATGGTCTTATCATGAAGACACACAAGCACCCAATGGAGAGATTCTTGTGACAAGGGACTGGGGCTTCCTGCCAACAGCCATGCAACGATCCATCTGAAGGCAGACCCAGTCAAGCCTTCAGATAATAGCAGCCCCTGATAGCATCCTAATTGCAACCTAATAAGACACCCTGAGCCGAAACTACCCACCTAAGCTGCTCTCGAACTTCTGACCCACAAGAACTATGAAATAATAAATGTTTGCTTTAATCCAGTATGTGTTGAGCTAAAGTGTTATGAAGCAATAGATAACTAATATGCCCCATATCCAATCCCTCAGCAAAGCTCTATGTCTTTATCTTCAAAATATATTCAGAATCCAACCTTAATTGTACTGCCAAAATATTACGAACTATTATATCTTACCTGGGTTTTGCAATATCTTCTTAACTGGTTTCCCTAATTCTACCCTTGTCTCATTTACCAGGACAGCAATCAGAGTGAGCTTGTTAAAATATAAGTCAGATTATGTCACTTCTGTGCTCAAAACTCTCAAATTTAAAGCTAAAAATGCTGTTGCCTCCTTGACTTCATCTCCTGCTGTTATCCTCATTCTGTCTGCTCCTGCCATATGGACCTCTTTGCCATTCCTGCATCATACCAGGCACTCTCCAAGTTCAGGGCCTTTGTGCTTGCTGTTCCCTGGTGTGAGACACTCTTCTTCCAGATATTCTGATAGCTTAACTCCTCTTCTTTAAATATTTACTTAATTATCGATTTCTTATTTCTTATTCTCTTTCCCTGCTCCATTTTTTTTTTTTGCATAGCTCATATCCCCTAATCTACATAGTATATAATTTACTGTTACATTTGGTTTGTTTCTGAATCCTTCCCCACCCAGTGGAATGCTAGCTCCATGATGGCAGGGATTTTGTCTGTTTTGCTTACTCCTATATCCTCGGTATCAAGGAGTGTGCCTGGCACATACTATGTATTCATTAAAACTTGTTGTAAGAATGAATAAATAAATAAGATAAATAGGCCATGCAATTTTACTTTTTTAAAGATGAAAAAGATTTGACTTTGCCAAAAGTGACATACCTATGTTGTGGGGTTGCAAAATATGAACCTGGGTTTGCCTTGACCCTAATGTTCATTTAATTATAACACATTGCAGGGCCCATTTTATATTATTTTTTCATAACAAATATTATTGAAAGAAAAATATCCTTTTTTTCCATAAGGAAAGACTTGAAAGAAGATGGTACTGTCAGAAATCTGAGTGACACCTCACACTGTAGGGTCTTTTTCATTGCTGGAGGTACTGCAGGGACACGGTGAATCACTATTTACTTAACCACAGATACTGTAGAGGAAACTGATGCTCTGCATGAGGAATTAACCAGGTGACCTACCCATCACTGTATCAGTCCCTTTTAATGCTGATATAGGTTCCAGCTAGTCAACACGGAGTCAGTGCACAAATATTAAATTTCCAGATCCTTAAGGGAAAAGAAGGAATCAAAGAAAGAGTCAAAATTTAACCCTCTGTTGTCAATGTGGCTATTCATAGCTCTTAGAGGCAGACACTTGACTGTGGTGTGCAGAAGATGTTGAGCTTGGCTTTTGATATCTTAAAGCTTAGGAACATCCAAATGGAATATCCCAAGGCATGATAAGTAATACCTTCCTCAAGGACTAGAGAGAGAATAGTAAAGAAATGTAGGAGGATTCCCTTCTTAGCAAAGTTTAACACAAACTCCATCAGTGCCAAGAGGACTGCTTCTTTAGGGACAGCAAACCTTGTGAAAATTTCTGATCAACCCTCCCAGGGGCCATATTTAAAGTGGTCTGAATATTGCCAATAGGAAAGTAGCATTGGCTCTTCAATTTCTGACCAGGACACAGGGACAAGAAGAGCAGGTGTATTAGTCCATTCTTCCACTGCTATAAGACCATACCTGAGACTGGGTAATTTACAAAGGAAAGAGGTTTAATTGACTCACAGTTCCGCAGGGCTGGGGAAGTCTCAGGAAACTTACAATCATGGTGGACGGGGAAGCAAACGTGTCCTTCTTCACATGACAGGACGAAGGAGAAACATGAGAGCCCAGTGAAGGGAGGAGACCCTTATAAAACGAGAAAAGGATGGGGGAAACTGCCCCCATGATTCAATTGTCTCCACCTAGTCCCTCCCACAACACGTGGGGATTATGGGAACTATACGATGAGATTTGGGTGGGGACACAGCCAAACCATATCACCAGGTCATTCCATTAAAGGAAGGGTACTATCCCAAAGCTTATATACATTTAACCAAGACTGACTGTTGCTGGGTGGTAGGGGAAGTAGGATACTCCTGGCCCCCAGAATGGATCAGAGAGTCAGATTCTAAGTGTTAAGTACTGCACAGCTGTCCTGGAGGCCCGGTGGACAGATAGAGCTCAGGCCTCATGTTCATGCAAGTGGGAAGGAACATCATGGGATTTCAGTTGGGAGACCTCTGCACATCCCAAAAGATTATCTAATTAGAAAATAAAATGAAAAACCAGCTCCCCTCCCCAGGCATCTCATCACAGAATATTGCTTTATTCCTTCTGCCTTTCATACAATGGGAGGTGTCAAAATGAATGATGTAGAAGTGGTTATTGGAAAAGTGCCATGTAGTACATTTGTGTGGTATTGTTAAAATGTAAATCAAGTCAACTTCATTAGGATGCTTAGTAGTTTCAAAATCAGGCTACAGTCCTTTCTGAGGCTCAGCTTCCAGCTGGAAGGGTACTTTCCCCAGCACAGCTGTCCCTGCTACTAACTGTTCAAGGCAGAGATGGCATTTGAATATAGATTTGAATATACTGAGCAACTGACAACTATTCTCAGTCCACATTTTAAGTCAGTTTTTCCACATTAGGAAAATACATTTTGTTCATTCAACTGACCTTGATAAGAATATAAACTCTTGCAACATGGGGTACGGAGATGCCACTACTGTTCTCACCAGCTATGGTTGTGTACCCATGGCCTCGGGATTCAATTTGGTAGAGCAGTAAATGGGCAAAGCAGCCTTAGGTTATAGTGCACACTACAGAGGGACAGTGCTGTTCTTCCTTGCAGGAGAGGCACAGCTTGAGGAGAGCAGTTTATCTGAGGAGCAGTTGGGGCCGGCACTGTCAGGCTCCAAGGGTGAGCTGCAAGCTGATTTTTTTAAAAAAGATGTCTCCAGCTTGATAGACAACAGGGCTATAGAAGCAACTTGGGCCAACGACTTGGGACACATATGCAGACGCAGATACAAACAAATACACGTATACACACACACACATGCACACGCGCGCGCACACACACACACACACACACACATATATGCACGTACAGCACAGGAACTGGTAAATGAGACAGAGAAGGAATAGGCTAGAGGTAGGATGACCAAGATATTTTAATGACATGAAAGTCAAACACTAAGAGGAAAAAGGTGGTTAATGTCATCAGGGTTTGAAAATGGTCAAGGTCACTGGGTGTGGTGGCTCACGCCTGTAATCCTATCAGTTTGGGAAGCCAAGGAGGGAATATTGCTTGAACCCAGGAGTTTTAAGACCAGCCTGGGCAACATAGCAAGACCCCTGTCTCTACAAACAAAAATTAGCTGGGCTTGCTGGTGCAGGCCTGTAGCCCCAGCTACTCAGGAGGCTGAGGTGTGAGAATCACTTGAGCCCAGGAGTTTGAGGTAGCAGTGAGACATGATAGCACTACTGTAGTCTGGCCTGAGTGACAGAGCAAGACCATTTTATTAAAAAAAAAAGTCAAGGTGCATAAAATATTCAAAAAGGCCCTTGGGTTTGTCAGTTAGGAGATCAGTAGTGACATCAAAACAGGGGTTGGCAAACTATGGCTGTTGGCTGCTTTTGTATGGCCCACAAGCTCCGAATGGTTTTAACATTTCTAAATTTAAAAAGTATTTACCAGATAACAGCTGCTGGAATAGTTGATTATATTGCTTCTTGGTCTGAAAGCCTAAAATATTTACTATTTGTCCCTTTACAGAAAATAAGTTCACTTACTGTTGCTCTAAAGAGACATTTTAGGAGAGGGGAGAGGGAACTTGAAGAATCCAGGTATCTCTTATCATCTCAGTAACACAGGAGGAACCTGTCTTGCTCCTCTCACTACTCAAAGTGAGGGATATGAAAATGGGATTCAGGCTTTGGTACCTTGGCTATACAGGAGACTCCACGAGAAAGTTTTTGCATATACTGCTTTCTTGATCCTAACCTCAAGATATTTCTGGTTTAAAAAATGGTTGAGGGGACCTAGGGTTTTTCTTGTTTTGTTTTGTTTTTGTTTTTTTGAGACAGAGTCTCACTCTGTCACTCAGGCTGGAGTGCAATGGCATGGTCTGAACTCACTGCAACCTCTACCTCCCAGGTTCAAACCATTTTCCTGCCTCAGCCTCTCAAGTAGCTGGGACTACAGGCATGCACCACCATGTCTGGCTAATTTTTGTATTTTTAGTAGAGACGAGGTTTCACCATGTTGGTCAGGCTGGTCTCAAACTCCTGACCTCAGGGGATCCACCCACCTCTGCCTCCCATGGTTGGTATTTTTTAACGGCAGACAGGGCTTAGTATAAACATGTTATAGTCTCATTGTAAAATCAGCATCAAGTCATCTGGAGTTGAATGGAAGGATTTTGGAGTATGTGCCTGCTGATGTTAGACTTTACTGGATTCAATCAAGCCAGTTTTAAGACTTTCCGCACCACCAAGTAGTGGCAAGGTGGGACATCAGCCAGTAGTCAGCAAATACTTATTGAGTGCCTACATTGTGTAGGGCACAGCAGAAAGACAATGGGGTGAGGAATCTTGGGGTGTCGGTGAGGACATCCTGAAAAGTTAAATTATGTGGTTCATTCTGTAAAAGGAGCCAACTAGGGTCAGAAAAGGATAGATGGATGAAAGATGGATGGATGAATGGATGGGTTTGGAGTTCAGAAGGGTTAAAAAACAAGAAGTGGCTGAGAGGGAAAGAACAGATTTGGTGCCTGTGAGAAAATCAGAGACATGTCAGAATGTGTGGTCACAAAGAGGACATCCCAATTACACCTCACTGTAGAGCAGGTTCAGGTCATGACAAGATCCTCAACTGTGAGCCTTCAATCCAATTTAAAGAATACTTATTGACAAAAACAAGCAATGGGGAAAGGATTCCCTATTTAATAAATGGTGCTGGGAAAACTGGCTAGCCATATGTAGAAAGCAGAAACTGGATCCCTTCCTTACATCTTGGATTAAAGACTTAAATATAAGACATAAAACCATAAAAACCCTGGAAGAAAACCTAGGCAATACCATTCAGGACATAGGCATGGGCAAAGACTTCATGACTAAAACACAAAAAGCAATGGCAACAAAAGCCAAAATAGACAAATGGGATCTAATTAAACTAAAGAGCTTCTGCACAGCAAAATAAACTATCATCAGAGTGAACAGGCAACCTACAGAATGGGAGAATCTACCCATCTGACAAAGGGCTAATATCCAGAATCTACAAAGAACTTAAACAAATTTACAAGAAAAAAACAACCCCATCAAAAAGTGGGCAAAGGATATGAACAGACACTTCTCAAAAGAAGACATTTATGCAGCCAACAGACAGATGAAAAAATGCTCATCATCACTGCTCATCAGAGAAATGTGAATCAAAACCACAGTGAGATACCATCTCATGCCATTTAGAATGGCGATAATTAAAAAGTCAGGAAACAACAGATGCTGGAGAGGATGTGGAGAAATAGGAATGCTTTTACACTGTTGGTGGGAGTGTAAATTAGTTCAACCATTGTGGAAGACAGGGTGGCAATTCCTCAGGGATCTAGAACTAGAAATACTATTTGACCCAGCGATCCCATTACTGGGTATATACCCAAAGGATTATAAATCATGCTACTATAAAGACACATGCACACGTATGTTTATTGCAGCACTATTCACAATAGCAAAGACTTGGAACCAACCCAAATGTCCATCAATGATAGACTGGATTAAGAAAATGTGGCCCATATACACCATGAAATACTATGCAGCCATAAAAAGGATGAGTTCATGTCCTTTGCAGAGACATGGATGAAGCTGGAAACCAACACAGGAACAGAAAACCCAATACTACATGTTCTCACTCATAAGTAGGAGTTGAACAATGAGAACACATGGATGCAGGGTGGGGAACATCACACACTGGGGCCTGTTGAGGGGTGGGAGGCTGGGGGAGGGATAGCATTAGGAGAAATACCTAATGTAAATGAGTGCAGCAAACCAGCATGGCACATGTATACCTCTGTAACAAACCTGCAGGTTGTGCACACGTACCCTAGAACTTAAAGTAGAATAATAATAAAAAAAGAATACTTATTGATTTAAATTTCTTTTCTATTTCTTTATTTGCCAACATTGAAATAGCACTCTCCTCCACCATTTTTATGGTCAATGTATTTCTTTATTTCAGTTTATATAGCCTTTGTGGACAACCTAACTACCATTTTATGTTATTACTCTTAGATTAAAATATGTTCCATTCAATTATAAATGTTTGCAATGCATTTGTAATGTACTTGTAAATTGAGACTTTATATGCAAAAATACAAATTTGCAGGCATTTTCAGAAGACCCTTCCAAACTTTAAAGGTGTCCCTCAGTAGCCATGAAGCACAGCTCCTTTTAGAGAGTTGCACAGCACTGAGCTGTCTGTTACAGAGAGCAGTCACATGCTAAGGAAATGCAGGGCTCATGGCATAGAGAGAATTTTCCATTTCTATTAAAATTAAGTGATTTTATTCATGGTCTGATTTCTTTTAGGTTTTTGCAATCTCCAGGAACGCCAGGCCACATGATTGAAACAGTTGTTCAATTTTTCTTGCTGAAGATGGTGAACTGGGTTAAGTTTAGAAACAACCATAGCTGGAAAAAGTATGACTTTGTTAGCTGCTTACTTCCTTTTCAGAGAAAAAATACTTTTCTAGTTTCTTTCTTTAGTTACAAAAATAATATGTGCTAATTATAACAAGCCAATCAATGGAGAGGCCTGCGGATATGAAGTTCATAGTCATTCATTCACTCTTCTGCAGAGTGGCTCCCCAAGGCAGCCAACATTGACAAGCAGGCTTGTGTGTTTCCACACTGTCTCTTGAGCGAGGCTTATTTAGTCTACACTTGCCTCCTTTAAAGCTGTTCACAAGCAGATGAGGATCAATCTCGGATTCTAGAAGGAAGAACCCAGCCCCTACTGTTAGAAGGAGCAGTGAAGGCGGCAGGTCAAAGCACAGCCTGGAGCCGACTGTCTGTGTCCAAATCCCACTTCACCACTTGCTGCATAACTGGAGCAGATGATTCAGCTTTTCTCTGCCTTAACTGACTCATGTAAATGGGGATATTAAAATATCACATATGGATTATTATATTGACTAGGAAGTTAATGCAATACAGCATGCATAGCAGTTAGTAAGCACTCAATAAATGGTAGATATTATTATTTTCTCTCTTGTGGGAGCAACAAAAGTGAAAAGAATGACCCTTTGGTAACTGGGGATCTGAGTATACACAGACTGTACCAATCATAACCACAATCACCAAAAAAACTACATTTGTGGAGGCTTAGTGTTAACACAGTCCCAAAACACTTCATCTATTGATTCCCTTATATGGCTAGAATTTAACATTAATTCTTTTTTCATTTTTCAGGAATAATAAAGAACATCAATAAAATTATAGGCATAATTTTTAAACAATTTTATTGAAGAATAATTATATGTAATAAAATTCACTGGCCGGGTGCAGTGGCTCATGCCTGTAATCTCACCACTTTGGGAGGCCAAGGCGGGGGGATTACTTGAGGCCAAAGTTTAAGACCAGCTTGGGCAAAAAAGCAAAAGCCTGTCTTTACTCTCTCTCTCTCTCTCTCTCTCCATATATATATATATATATATATATATATATATATATATATATATATTTTTTTTTTTTTTTTTTTTTTTTTTTTTTAAATAGCCAGGTGTAGTGGTGTGCGCCTCAAGTCCCAGCTACTTTCAAGGGGCTGAGGTAAGAGGATTGCTTGAGCCCAGTAGTTGCAGGCTGCAATGAGCTATGATCCCACCACTGTACTCCAGCCTGGGTGACAGAGTGAGACCTTGTCTCTAAAAATAAATAAATAAGTAAATACAAATTTTTAAAAATAAAAATTCATCCATTTTAAGAATACAATTAAATAAGTTTTAGTAAATTTACCAAGCTGTGCAACCATCACCACAACCCAGTTTCAGAACATTTACATCACCCTTGGAAGCTCCCTCATGCCTGTTTACAGTTAACCCCAGTTCCTATCCCCAGCTCTGGGCACCATTAATCTACTACTCTCTGTCTCTATGACTTTGCTTTTTCTGGACACTTCATATAAATGGATTATGCAGTATGTGGCCTTTTGTATCTGACTTATTTCGTTAACATAATGTTTTAAAGATCCATCTACACTGAAGTACGTATCAGTATGTGTTCCTTTGTACTGAGGAACTGTATTCCACTGTATGGATATACCACAGTTTGTTCATCCATTCGACAATGGATGGACAGTTGGTTGTGTCCACTTTTTAGCTATTATGAATAATGTCACTATGAACATTTGTGTACAAGTTTTTGGGTGGACTTACGTTTTTATTTCTCTTGGGTAGATACATAGAAGTGAATATAGTACATTTATATTTAACTTTTTGAAACTATTAAACTGTTTTCTACAGTGATCGCACCATTTTATATTCCCACCAGCAATGTGTGAAGGTTCTACAGGTCTAAACTTAAAGGTCAAAATAGAAAGAAGATCTAAAAATACATGAATTCAAGTGCTGAATGTCCGTTCTCTGACACTGGTTATCTTCTAAACTCCCCTTTAATGAAAGGACAGGGAGAATCCTTCCCCTGCCTTCCCCAGATTCTCATTTCCCATATTTTGCTGTTTGGCTAAGTGGGGGCTCCCTCACCTCATTTAGTCCTGCTAATTCAGGGAAAGCAACCCTGTGCTCCTCCACTCCTAGCAACCCTAAGAGGCTATCTAAAGTGGAAAGAACATTTTACAAATGCAAATTCAGTCCTTGGGTATGGCAAGAGAAGAGTTAATGCAGTTTGTAATAATTATTGACTACAAGAACTGCAAATGATTGCATAAAATTTCTAAAATATGCCTGCAAGGTTCTCTTATTGATGTGTTGCCCCCAGGGGTACACATATGGGTTTAAGTGTCTAAACTGTTTTATTAATTAAATTGCTATGATTTACCTCTCCCATGTTAGCATTTACAGTTTATGAAACAGCCCTGTAATTAGAAAATGATGTACTAGTGTTGCTTGTTTACTTTGTGGGTGAAATATTATACACACACAGATGTGTATGTGTATATATATACACTCACTTATATATGTTTATAGACACACACATGTGCACGCGCGCACACACACACACAAAGTGTTTTTTCTTGGGTCAACCCTCATAGGCTACTTTATTTCTAGTCCAATTAATAGGCAACCTCCAGTGGTGCATTAAATTGGTTTTTAGCGGGAGGGGGAGGATAACTGAGAAGTTCATTGTTCCTGCTGAGGTGTGTCATGGCATCCATGTATGTTTGTTTATTTTCCCTCCATAGACAGACAATTGAAATCACAAGAATTTATTGTAAAAAAAAAAATCTGTTGAGAACAGCCCTGAGGATACTTCAGCAAATCCTAAAACTGTACCTACTTTAATTATACAGCATCTTATTATCTTCTGCGTCCATTCTGAAGGTATATGTAGGAATATATAATATAAATTACCTGTGCTACATAGACAATGCCTAAATAAAGTTGTTGTTGAAGTGCTTTTTGTTTGCCTTTATTTTATACCTATTTATTTGTCCCATCTACAGACCATATTCTGGTGCTGAATCTGATGTTTACATATTTTTATCAGTTTTCTTAACTGTGGTTAATATGTGACTTTTATGTATATCAGATTATGCCAAGTCTGGTTCAAGCATATCAAATGATGATTATTGTTAGGTTGGGAGAACTTTAGGGGTTATATACTCACACTTTCCATATTTCTGTAACATTTCTGGGTTCTGTATGGATTGATCATAATTGACATTTCAAATCTCTTTTATATGGAGGTGATGTATAATTTTAAAAGTCTATCTTTCAGAGATACTAGGGGTAAAAGAAAATGATCTTTAAAATACCTTAACATATAGGGGGAAACGTTTCTATGCATATAAAATATCAATTTGGTTAGTAATCTAATGATGCACAAATTTATATAAAAGGGTTGCTCTGCTCCCCTGGCTGTGATGAATTCTGATTGCAGAGGCTAGAACAAATTTGGGGGGAAGAAAAGAGCAAAAGAGAAGTAGGTAATACAGAGCTTAGCACAGGACTATATGCTTAAGGTGCTTTACACATTTTTACTTCTCCACTTAAATGTTTATCGAGAACTAAACTATGATGGTATTTAGTAGTATACTGTACACTAAAGTGAATGTGAAGACTTTCAAGACGCTAATTTCAAGAAGCTCACAGTCAGGTAAAAGGAATGCTCTGTTCACAAGCATGCAGAAAGGTTGCATGCTAAGAAGACAATAGGGTTTCAGTAGGTAGAGGAAGGTCTTCTGGTTGGAGTGGTCAGAAAAGTCTTCTTGGAAAAGATAGTATTATCTTTTTGGCACTGGGGAGAATTTTAATAGATGGGGGCTTTCAAGGATAGGTAATTCCAGCAAGGGAAATGGTATGGGTAAAGGGGCAGAGGTTAGAAAATCTATGGTGTATGAAGATCATACACAGAAGTAAAATAAAGCAATCTCCTCTATTGGCATTTCTGACTTCATATTAAAAGAAAGTCGTGGACGATACCACTAGATTAGCCATTCATCTTGCAATTGCATGATGTGGGTAATTAAGGTGAAAGAAGTACAAATGCCTCACAGCAACTAGTCAACAATGCTGGCAAATATGTGTAGAGTGAATCAATGAATGAGTGAGCGGTCGAACAGCAAACATGCACAATGGAGGAACAAACAGCAACAAAAGGATAGATGAAGCCAAGTGTGGCAAGAGCTTGATAATGACTGAATCTGAGTTCTGGCTGGATTAGGGCTCATGATACAATTTTTTTTTCACTTTTATAGGCTTGACATTTTCATAATAAATTTTTTTCAGTTGTTTACAATTTCCATTTCTACTCCCACAGAAATGGTCCTCCTCAAGGTTCTAATGATCCCCGGTTATGAAATCCCGATGAAAACTTGCGTTCATCTTACATGACCGCCAAGCAGCCTTTGACACATTTGACCGCTTCCACTTTTTTGAAATATTACCCCCTGATTTTGCTGACACCGCATCTCTCCCTGTTTCTCCATTGCCTGCCCTAGCTCAGTTCTGCTGCCACCACCTCATCCTATCTGACCTCTAAATACGGAGTTCTTGAGTTCCACTCTTGGTCCCACGATCTTCTCACTCCACCTTCTCTTCATCAGTGACACATTGAGTTCAGTTATCACATGCACTCTGGTGACTCCTCATATATTTTCAGCCTAGACTTCTCCAATGAGTTCCACACTCACATATCAAACTCTAATCCATGTCTCTAGTCAACACCTCCTGTATTAGTCAGATTTCTCTAGAGGGTCAGAACTAATCAGATATATGTATATATGAAAGGGAGCTTATTAAGGACAATTGACTTACATGATAACAAGATAAAGGCCCATGATAGGCTGTCTGCAAGCTGAGGAGCAAGGAAGCCAGTGGTGGATCAGTCCGAGTTTTAAAACCTCAAAAGTAGGGAAGCCAACAGTGCAGCCTTTAGTCTGTGGCCAAAGGCCCGAGAGCCCCTGGCAAGTCCAAGAGTCCAAAAGCTGAAAAACTTGGGGTCTGATGTTTGAGGGCAGGAAGCATCCAGCACGAGAGAAAGACGAAGGCTGGAAGACTCAGCTACTCTGCCCTTCCATCTTCTCTTGCCTGCTGCCTGCTTTATTCTAGCTACACTGGGAGTTGATTAGATGGTGCCCACCCAGATTGAGAGTGGGTCTGTGTCTCCCAGTTCGCTGACTCAAATGTTAATTTCATTTGTCAACACTCTCACAGACATACCCAGGAACAATATTTTGCATCCTTCAATCCAATCAAGTCGACATTCAAAATTAACCATCACACTTCCACTTACAGACTGTTAGAATTCACTGTGTTCAGAATGGAGCTCGTGATCTTTTCCCCCAGTCTGTTCCTTTTCAGCATTACTACCTTGGTGAATGCCACCACTATCTACTCAGCTGCTCATTCCAGAACTCAAGGTGTCATTCTCTGCACTCTTCATCTCCCCTCAGCCTGTCCATCACCAAGTTTTGTCAATTTCACTTCCAAAATAGTTTTCAAGCCTGTTCACTTCTGTGAACCTCCTCACTTAGAGTAATGAGAAAGCCCTACTGCATCTCCATAAGTTGTAGGAACGCCCACCCGCCTCTCCATCCTCTGCTTGGAAACCAGAAAGATCTTGTAGAAACCTAAAGATTAAATACTCTTCTACTTAAAGCCGTTCCCCTTCCCCACAATGTCCAAAGTTTTTCCTATGGCCCAGAAGACCCCGTGTGACCTACGTGCATCATCTCACACCACTGTCCCCTTGTTCACTTGTTTAGAAGCAGCTGCCCTTCTAACTCCTCCTCCTTTGGGTTTCAGCATAAATGGTCCTTCATCAGCCTTATCAGACCTGCAAAAAAGATAAAGTCTCCCTGTGTTGCACTTTCATTGTCAACTGTAGTTTTCCCTCATAACATTATACACAAATGCAATTATTTATGTAATTATGAGTTTGTTTCCAGCCTCCTGCATTAGACAGAGGCTCCAGGATTTAATACATTTTCCCTTGCCTGACATGTAGTATCTACTCAATTAACAATCTCCCTCATAAAGAGAGAGACTGTATCTGTCTGTCAGAACATGGCACATAGTAAGTGTTCAATAAACGGTTAAACTTATTGAATGTTGTTGGTGTTCAAATTAAACACTGGAAACTGAATCAATGTTAACCTTCATTCTCTTAATAATGCCTCCTAGAAAAAGCAAGTGGAACAGTAATGAGCTGCTAGGTATTTACTTTGGTAATTTGCCTCCTTTCCCCTTCCCTCTAAAATGTGTAACATTCTCCTTGCCTCCCCTGCTGATGTGCTTCATCAGAAGTGAGCTGGAGGGATTTGGAGAGTTTCAGAGTCTTTTGTTTTCCTGAGTAAAGGCTATACACTAGGAGCCAGGTGTGAAATCTTCTGACATTGAATTTAAAGTGTGTAACAGAAAGTTTGAGAGTCATTTCAGAGTAAATAACTTTCTATCCTCCCTAGCTCATGTAAGAGCACATAATTATTTACTCCTTCTAATTTCCCCAGTTAAGGCATCTCTAGCTTAGTGGAGACGGAGTTGCTGAATATTTTTAAGTGACCAGCACGTAGACCGAATTCCAGTTTCACAGCCCTCAGCCTCAAGATGTCAGGTGAGTCAGATGTCAGATTCCCAGTCCTGGTTTTGGAAACTCAAAGCAAGATGAAAGTTTACTCACTTAATTTTCAAAATGGAAAAAATATGGAAAAACTGTGTTTTCAGTAAGTTGGATGAGTACAGATTGCTGAAAAATGGAAGGTGCAACTCCTTACACATGGC
The DNA here is from genome assembly GCF_000001405.40 of Homo sapiens. Lineage (NCBI taxonomy): Eukaryota > Metazoa > Chordata > Mammalia > Primates > Hominidae > Homo > Homo sapiens. The sequence continues at coordinate 8,363,777 of NC_000006.12, forward strand.
CAGCACCACCCTGAACCACAGCTGTTCAGCAGTCCTAACTCCCCCAGGTGTGGTGGGTATAGATGCTGTACTTTGAGAACCTGTTTCAACCATGGCAGAAGTTCTCCAAATAGCAAAGGCCTACCGCTTTTCAGGGAATCCCACACACACTGTGGGGAAGTGGCCTATGGGGGAAGGTTCAATAAATACATCTTACATTAAACTGCAATTAGGCACTTTTGGCTTTTCTGTTCTATTAAGAAAGTCATGCACTTGAGGGAAATAAACCCACAAGATCTCTTTGCTGGTAGAACTTAAAAATATTTTTTCTTCCTGGTTCTATTTGCAGACTGTGCTAGTGGGTTAGTTAATCAAACACAATTGCCTTCCGTCTCTGGGATTTAGGATTAACATATGCAACCTATTTCTCCAAGAGACACTGCATGCGGAGTTCTTGGCTCTTGGTCCTCACCGTAGACATTAATCATGTGAGTGTCCTCTATTAAAATGAGTAGGTCAGGATAGTAATGGGGAAACTCAGGCAGCTGCTCTTTCTGTGGTACCTGAGAGGGCCTGCACAGGTGACAGGAATTCCCTACTGCCCTTGTTGTGTGCCCGGATTGCATACAGGACCAGCTGAGCACACCAGCCAGAATCCCGGACAAATCTGGTGTAAAAGCTCTCGCTTCTCTTTCTTTATCAGGAGTTGGAAAAAAGCAAACTGGTTTTCTTAAAATTAGTTAGAATATTTAAATACATTCTACCTTTGTGATTTCTGCCTCTCCAATTTGAAATTTCTCTGAAACTTCACCATGGACTTCCTCACTTTCAAATTTGATGGTGTCTCCTCTGTCTTCATTTTCATTTGCTTTGCTCTGGTGCTTGATTCTGCTGATGGTCAAATTTCTTAGCTATCTGGCTATAGACTGAATGTTTGTATCTGTCCAAAATTCATATTTTCAGCGCTTCCTTGCCCCTTCTTCCATATGAGGACACAGCAAGAGGGCAGAGCGCTTCCTTGCCCCTTCTTCCATATGAGGACACAGCACTTCCTTGCCCCTTCTTCCGTATGAGGACACAGCAAGAAGGCACCATCTACAACAAGGAAGAGAACCCTCACCAGACACTGAATCTGCTGCACCCTGATCCTGGGTCATCCAGCCTCCAGAATTGTGGAAACTTGTTTAAGCCACCCAGACTGGTATTTTTGTTACAGCAGCCAGGATGGGCTAAGACCTCACTCTTCCTTCTTGGTTTCCCCAAAGTTCTGTGAACCTGGTCTTGTTTCTGCCTCCCCTTTGGCTTCTCAGCCTCATTTCTCTTTGCTATCAGTTCTTCCTGCCCCATGACTTTTGTATGTTTCTCTAAGCTCTGTTCTAGTGGGGCAGGTATCCATCCTCCCTCTGCACAGAGATGTATCACTAATACCTTAGTTCGTAATGTGTTCTCAGCCTGAAAAGCCTCCCCTACGTACTGTGTAACCAAATCCTATCCACTTGTCAAATTGTTCTAGAAATAGTTATTGTACATTGTGTGCCTCCAATGTATCAGGCACCATGATAGGGCTTTAGAAATATGACATTAATTAATCTTCAAATCAAGTTTGAAAAAGAGGTATTATTATCCCCATTTTATAGGGAGCTCTGGGAATCTGTGAAATGGGGACAAGAGAAGTTATTCCCTGGGGACTCAGAGGAGTTTAGCAACTTCCCCCAAATCCCACAGCAGTGGTGGAGCTGAGATACAAACTCAGGAGCTGACAGATAAAGTTTGCTTTGCCTTTCAGCAAAGTCTACACTCTACATACTACAGGCATTGCAGCCAAGTGGCCAAGCTATGTCCTTTTGTGGACAGACAGATCAGGGTTTGAGAACTAACTCAACCATTCATGACCCGTCCAATGTTCAGGTGTTCTAGTTATAAAGTAGGGGAGGGAGAATGATAATGCCTGCCTCATGGGCTGTAGTTCTAAAGGAGCTTGGTATAAACGGTAGGCACATGGTTCCCAATCTAATTAGTTGCTGTTGTTATTATTGTTGTTATGATGCGTTGCTCCAGCTCCTGAGCCAGACGCCCTACTCAAGGCCGAACAAGTCACATTGCTTCCATGTTGGTTCCAACTCTGTTATTCCCCCTCTAGGAACTTTTGTTGAACTTACAGTATCTACCACGTGACTTAATCATTCTCTTATTTTGTTCTCAAATTCTCCAGCAGTTGTGTATTCAGTCTCCCCGGTGGGTTTCATATTAAATTTTCTTCTGGAAATGATAGGCATCATCTAAAGGCATCATTTTATGCTTGCAAGTTTCAGTTGTACCTCTGAGTGACTTCAAATATATTCCTGTTATCTGTCCACAAGGCAGGATCTACTGGCTTAGTTTCATCCCTTCCACTCCCCCTAATGCATTACTGTAGTTATTTCAGTTTGCCAAAAAAAGCTAATTTTCTCACATTTCTCTCCCTCCCTTCCTTCCTCTCTTTTGGGCATCAGTAGTACTTATGAAGAACCTGCTAGGTACCGAGCACTGGGAATTCAACAGTGAGCAAAGCTCATGGGGCTCACGGTCTAGTGGGGAATTGAGACAGCATTGAATCTATTATAGAATCATGGATTGAGTAGAAAAATATGGGTATCGTGAAAGTGCAAGGAAGGCTCCTCATTGTAACTGAAGAATCAAAGGTAGCTTCATGGTGGAAATGAGGTCTATGCTGAGACCAGAAGGATAAGTAGGAGCTAGGGAGGCTGGGGTAGGGATGGGGCAGGAAGTGGGGATGTAAATGTTCCAGGCAGAGAGAAGCACTTACACAATGCTTGTAAACAATAGAGAGCCTGTAAAGTCAAGGAGCCAAACAAAGTTTAGTAGGGCTGGTTGACAGTGTCACGGCTGGTGGGGAAGCTCAGACGTGGTCATCCAGGCCCTATGGCCTATGTGAAAGTGTGAGGACTTGACACAATACCATCAAAAACATTTTTCCCCTCTCCAAGATGGAAAATGACTTGGAGGTGGAAGTAGTCAAGAATAGATTCAGGGAGACTCATTATGAGTAGCTTCAGTAGCCTAGATGAAAGTTAGTGGTGGCCTTTAGAATTAGGAAAATGGATGAGCTTGAAAATACCTAGATAGTAGAATTTATAGAAGTTGATGATAGATTTGGTGTTGGAGGAGAGAGAGAAGAGTAGAATTAAGGAAGACTCCAGGCTTATGGCTTGGGAAACCGGGTGGATATTGGTTCCCTCCAGTGGGGAAGGTAGATAGGAGGGGAAATTGGTTTGGGGGAAAAAACTGTGTGCTCAATTTTGGTTAAGTTAATCTTAAAATGCCTATGGGACATCCAAATGAAGATGTCCAATGGGCAGTGAAATATGCAGGTGAGGCTCAGGAGATAGACGTGGGCTGGGCTTGGACATGATCATGCAGTGGCGTGTGTGTGTTTGTGTGTGTGATTTCCCCGAGTTGTCCATCTGTCTTCTGGCCAATCATTTGAGCTCCAGGTGTTCTTTAAGACTGAGGTCAGGTCTCTCTCCTTTGCTGAATCATTACTTCTCTCTTCAAGTCTCCCTGTCATCTTTTCTCCAATGTCACTGTGTACAAGCCTACAGCACAGCATGGAAAAGACTGCTTTGTGATTATTCACTTGTGTCTTGCTTTGGGCTCTAATCTACAGGAAGGCAAGGATTTTGTTTTGTCCATCTTCATTTTAGGCATAATGGCTGACAGACATGCGTTTAATGAATTTTTTTTTTAATATATTGCAAGTAAAAGGCTAGCCGTGGTCAAAATGATAAAATGACAGTGTTTGATATGGGCTCCTCCCATTTTCCTCCAAGATGGCCAGTACTTCTCACCTACAAAATCAACTAGAACATCCTCCAGATTTTTTACTGCATTTCCCTGTCAAATATACCAGTCCTATCCGGAACACCAAGCAATGCCTATGCCCAGTGCTAAGACACTGTGAGGAAAACAGAAATGAATAAACACATTCTCTGTTTCAAAGAGTCTTCACACTAGTGGAATGGAGAATGAAAATAAAAATCATTGCAGGTGCGGGCAGGGTTTTGTAGCAAGATGAAAGAGGCCCCACGTATCTGGAATGGGCCCTCCCAGGTGCACTTTCTGAAGGGAACACTTTCACTCAAATACGTGATTCTTGAGGTAGAAACTTGGAGTCCTAGGGAGGAAAGGCAAGGGGCATCCTGCCCAGCTCTTCACTTCGTATCTCATTGGTGAAGCCTCACAGGGCTCTATTAATAATTGGGAACTATCCCTAGCCTTTCCAGGATTACCCTCCAGACCCCAGCTTGTCACATGGTCCCTGTACCCATGTGTTTGTAGACTTCCATTAGGAAGACTTTACTAAATATTAAAAAACAGAACAGGCTGGGCGCGGTGGCTCACGCCTGTAATCCCAGCACTTTGGGAGGCTGAGGTGGGTGGATCACCTGAGGTCAGGAGTTCAAGACCAGCCTGGCCAACATGGTGAAACTCCGTCTTGACTAAAAACACAAAAATTATCCGGGAGCAGTGGCAGGTGCCTATAATCCCAGCTACTTGGGAGGCTGAGGCAGGACAATCGCTTGAGCCTGGGAGGCAGAGGTTGCAGTGAGCCAAGATCGTACCATTGCACTCCAGCTTGGGTGACAGCAGGAGACTCTGTCCTAAAATAATAATAACAATAATAAACATTAAAAAAAATAAAAGAACATTAGAAATCCATTCCAGAAACCTACTGGAACTTCAGAGTTTTTACAGATGACATTTGAGAGAGCTTTCTTGAGTTTGTCAAATGAACAATTTCAAGAAGTCTCTACATACTCTTATCTACCATACAATGGATCAGTAGTCAAAATTATGGCCAAGATAGGTAATAAAGTAAAATGCACTGTATTGTCTACTGACAATGCGACAAGTTAAAAGTAGCTTTTAATAAAAGGTCTTACTGTTTGTGGGATCTTAAAGCACTATTTTTAGTTTGCAGCTAAGACATGAGTATTTCAGACAAACTTTGTGAATGTGTGCATAAGTTTAAGTAAGCATGAGACAGTCGTGAGTTATCCTAATAGACTGTGTCTCTTTAGAATCTTTGTTCCTTAGTTTTATGGGAAGGGTGTCTCATGTCTCCTGTATGTTCTGTATGTTCCTGTATATTCATGTCTGTGGGAGCAGAAAGCCAGAAGCTGTGACCATAGACTCTTCCAGGGAGACTGCACAGGAGCCTGTCAAGGAATGCAAAAGGACTCCTTAGAGGTGACAAGGCAGTTTGACAAAGGCAGATGGGCTTCATCACAGACTGAGGTATGTGAAAAATAGACCTCACGGCCGGGTGCGGTGGCTAGCACCTGTAATCCCAGCACTTTGGGAGGCCAAGGCGGGCAGATCACCTGAGGTCAGGAGTTCGAGACCAGCCTGGCCAACATGGCAAAACCCCATCTCTACTAAAAATACAAAGAATTAGCTGGACACCTGTAGTCCCAGCTACTCGGGAGGCTGTGGCAGGAGAATTGTTTGAACCCAGTAGGCGGAGGTTGCAGTGAGCCGAGATCATGCCACTGCACTCTAGCCTGGGTGACAGAGCAAGACTCCATCTCAATTAAAAAAAAAAAAATAGACCTCAGACCTCATGTATTCCTCCTCAGGCTGCTAGGAGGATGTAAAAAAAGCCTCTAACAAGAGTGCTTTCACTTTTGCAATTGAGAAAGGTAAATTTCCCAAGGACTGTAAAGCTACTCTTGTCTCCTATATTGATATTTTTCTCTGAAAAAATAAATGTCTTTTTGCATTATTTAAATAGCACATAATTAAATACTAAGGGCTCTCTGTTACTTGTACCCAAAGCAATGCCCGGTGAGGTATGGAGGCCCAGAGGGCTGTAGAGAAGTATCGCCTCTCAGAGCAGGAGAGAGGAAAAACAATAGACAGAGACAGACAGGGACCCAGGGCAGGAGGAAGAGAAAGGAAGTGTTTAACATTCAGAATTTGTCCACAGCCGATAATTTATTGGAACTCATCTGTAACAAGGCCTGGCACTGATTTATAAGTTGATTTGAAAAATAAATAAAAGTGATAGAAACCTGCATTTGGTTTTAATGATAGACTGTTGCAGCGTGAAAAGTAAGGATATGAAACATTGCAAGGAAATTAGATATTATGCCCTGAAGACAATTGCAGCTACCAGCCCATTAATTGTTAGATATTTATTATTAAAAATTTCTTTTCATGAGTGACTGCAGAATATTTGCGCTACTCAAGCTGTTGGGTTCTGACATGAATGAAGTGTGAGGAGCTCATTTGTTTCTGTGTGTCTGTGTGTGTGTGTGTGTGTGTGTGTGTAAAACTGACAAGCCAGCTGACCAAAATAGGTGATAGATCTCTTTACAGCAAAAACACAAACATAGAGGGGCTGCCTTTTAACTCAGAACAGAGCAAGGAGTCCTGGGGCACTTGTCATTTCTGAAGCTGTTATTAAATAATAATTTCATAAATAATAAAAATAATTTTTAACCCAGGTGTCAACCCAGGTATAGGCACAAGTTAGATCTGTCTACATTAGAACACAACTCAAAAATCCCTGGCTGACCAGGTGTGGTGGCTCACGCCTGTAATCCCAGCACTTTGAGAGGCTGAGGTGGGAGGATCACTTGAATCCAGGAGTTCGAGACCAGCCTGGCCAACGTGGTGAAATGCTGTCTCTACAAATAATAACAACACTAAATTAGACAGGAGTGGTGGCCCATGCCTGTGGGCCCAGCTCCTTGGGAGGCTGAGGCGGAAGGATTGCAGGAGCCCAGGAAGTCCAGGCTTCAGTGAGCCATGATTGTGCCATTGTACTCCAGCCTGAGTGACAGAATGAGACCCTGTCTCAAAAAAAAAAAAAAAAAAAAAAAAAAAAAGGCACTGGCAATAGCACCCCAGAGAGATCGAAATTATGAATACTAAAAGCAATTTTGTTATCTCACCAGTATTTAATGTATCGTGTTGAATTTTGGTCTGGAAAGATCCAGGATTGCCACTTGAACACTTCATGGTTTAAATTATAATACACAATGGTGCACCCAAAACAGGGGTATCCCCCCTCCAAGTTATGGCATGTCTAAACTGCTTTCTTAAAAAATAGGTAATACATTTGTTTTCTCGTTGAGGGAAAAAAGAGAGTGGGTCTTTGGTTAACTGGAAATCACTTGTTATTATAGGCTAATATTGTAAATATTTTACATTTCCTTTTTATTTTATATTTGAAACTTAATATTTGTGTTTCCTTTATTTGCCAGATATTTGTAGGATGAGGCTGTATTTGGACAGATTTTTATTTATTTAAATATACCATTTAATGGTCCAGATACATATTTTTTTTTGAAATCAGAAGGCACTTTATAGCCAATCTTAATTCATGATTCACTCTTAGGGCTATTTTCCATTAACTTTTCTACTGTGCCATTTTTCTGAAGCACACAGAAAACTGTTTTACAGTGGAGAGGACCAGCATAGTAAAGATAAAGATGGCATTATTCACATAAATAGCATATTTTAAAAACAGCTTCGGTGAGTTGCAGTGCAAGTTAATAAATTTAACTTGCCATTATTTAATATGTAATAAAATGCAGTCTAAAACTACAATCTAGGTGGTCCATGTGTCACAATGCCCAGCTTTGCCATCAAGGAATTTACAAATGCTATTCCTACATACTTTGTGCTGCTGACGGCTTTTTTTCTCTAGAGTGCTAAATTCTATGGTAAACCATCGAAGACCTGAGCAAATGCTTGAACTCAAATTTGGGCTAGACTGTGAGCTTCCTGAGGGTAGAGACTGTGTCTATATCCATCTTTGTGGCTTCTGAGGTCAGCCTGGTGCCAATCACTTTATGAATGATGGGTAGGTTAGGTTACTTCCTAAAGCCTTCATTGTTCAGGTCTTAGAAAATCAATCCACAAGCATTTGTTGCATCCCTCCTCTTCTTTTTCCACTAAGGAGTATGGTATTTCAGATATTGATGCACAGAGTTCCCCTGTTGGTTGAAAAGCAGGCTTGTATCCGGAATGGATAACATAATATCAGTGGTGCACACACATATGCACATATGAAAGCAGGCAGGCAGGAGTTTGCTGATCTCTGTTGTACCCAGCCCCACCATGGTTGATTTCAAGCTACTAATACTTGTGGCTTACTAAATTAATAAAAATTTAACTATCAGTTCTTGCCAACTGGTAAAAGGGGGCTCCAGTAGGATGTTCATAGGTTCATTTGTTTTTTTAAAAAATGTGCACTCTCAAACACATTTTTAAAGACTGTCAAGAGGAGGTCTGGACCACAGTGTTTCTCCATGGATTTGACTAACATCTGCCCACTGTCTCCCTCTCCATTCACTTGGAACTCCAAGCTGTACTCTTCACATCTTCCCTTCCTACAAATCACTCACCTGTCATTTCTTTAAGACAATGCAGAAATGCTCAACTCCAACCCTCTCCACCTTCAGTTTTCCTTATGTTGCCTTTCCCTCCTTCTCTCCCCTCCCCTGTCTTGTAGGAAGAAGTGTCTGCTTTCCAACAACCCCTCCACCACCACTGATACTCATCTTGTCCCCACTTTCCCTGAGACCTGCTCCATCATCTGTCTCACCTCTTACTTCAAGTATTCCTTTTCGTCAACAATTTCCCTATTTCCTTTCAGACTTCAAGCCAACTCAGATATTCCCACAAACAAATATTATTTATTTTGTTGTTAAAAAACTTACCTTCTCCTTCAAGCTATCATCACTTCATGCTTGTTGACTCTTCACCATTCCTTAGTTGCCTTGAAATCTGGCTCAAATCACCCAAAAAACCGACATAATCACCAAGTCAAATGGGTTTTCTCATCCTTCCTTCAAATACTTCTCACATGCTGAGCACAGCCTGGTTTTCCTTGTACCTTTTTATTTCACCTTCAGCCAAACTCCCCAAACTTTGATCTCACTCACAGCTTTGCCCTCAGATCTCCTCAGCCCACACTTCCTTGACAATCACGTCTGTGTGCATGGTTCTAAATTTTTATGTCTAGCCCCAGCAGCTCAGTCTTGTCATAACCCAGACCAGATGCCACCTCATTCCCTAACCAAGTCATCCTTTTCATATCTCCCTAACCACCTGTGCTAGAACTCTTGGAAGAAAATATTCCAGTGGTGTGCTGGTAAATACCCACCACCCCAAAGCCCTGATTTACAGTATTTGCTGCTTTCCATAGTGTAAATCAGAGGTTGGTAAACTTTTTCTGTAAAGAACTAGATAGTAAATATTCTAGGCTTTCAGGTTCCAGGCTTTCAGGCCACATGGTCTCTGTTTCAAGTACAACTCAACTGCTGTTGTTAGTGAAAGCAGCCACAGACAATGCCTAAATGCATAAGCATGGCTGTGTTCCAATGCAATGTTATCTATGGACCTGAAAGTTGAAATTCATTTAATTTTGTCATATTATATGTCCCAAAAAAATCTTCTAAATTTTTTTCAATTATTTAAGAATGTAAAGACCATTCTGACCTTGCAGCCACACAAAAGCAGGCAGGCAGGAGTTTGCTGATGTCTGTTATACCCAGCCCCACCATGGTTGATTTCAAGCCACTAATAATTGTGGCTCACTAAATTAATAAAAATTTAACTGTCAGCTCTTGCCAACTGGTAAAAGGGGGCTCCAGTAAGATGTTCATAAGTTCACTTGTTTTTTTTTTTTAAATGTGCACTCTCAAACACGTTTTTAAAGACTGTCAAGAGGAGGTCTAGACTACAGTGTTTCTCAATGGATCTGACAAACATCTGGAACAAGGGTGTTCCTGAAAAGCATTTCTCAGGAACACTGTTTGGAGGATTCTGTCTTGGTATTCTAATTGCTCAAAAGGTTCTTCTTGACCACTGCACAGATAAACCCAATTCACCAAGAGAGCGCTATTGCAGTAGAGAAAGAGTTTAATTATCACAAGGCAGCTAAACAGAAGGATGGGAGTTACTACTTAAATCTGACTCCCTGAAAATTTAGGAGACTAGGGTTTTTTCAAGGACAATTTAGCAGGCAGGGGGCTAGGGAATAGGGAATGCTGATTGGTTGGGTTAGAGATGACATCATAGGAGGTCAAAGCTGTCTTCTTACTATTTTCAGTTCCTGGGTAGGATCACAAGACCAATTGAGCCAATTTACCAAACCAGGTGGTGCCAGCTGGTCATCAGAATGCATGGTCTAAAAAATATCTCAAACACCAATCTTAAATTTTACAATAGTGATGTTATCTATAAGAGCAACTGGGGAGGTTACAAATCTTGTGACTTCTGGCTACGTGGCTCCTGAACCATAATTCTAACCTTGTAGCTAATTTCTTAGTTTTACAAAGGCAGTTTTGGTCGTTCAGCAAGGAGGGGGTTAGTTTTGGGAAGAAGCTGTTACTATCTTTATTTCAAGGTTAAACTAAATTCCTCCCACAGTTAGCTTGGCATATGCCCAGGAATGAACAAGGAGTACTTGGAGGTTAGAAGAAAGATGGAGTCAGTTAGGTCAGATTCCTTTCACTGTCCTAACTTTTCTATGTCAGATTTCTCTCACTGTCATAATTTTTGCAAAGGCAGTTTCACCATTTGTGTAGATTCCCCACTTTTCCTTCCTCTCATATATAAGCAGGTGCCAAGGCCTGTCATATCTATCCTTTCATACTGAGGGTAGAAGATGAGCCCTGGAGGGAGCTGGGGTCCAGATACCCTGCCTAATGCCCTAGCCTGGCTGGATCATTCCTAATTCTCTGCCCTCCCTAGGATCTCTACCAGTGAACTGACTTGTTTCTTCTCCGTAACCTGAATTGACCAGCTTATGCCTGTCTTCCTGGAGTCAGTGGCACCATCAATGACACCCCCTTTCACTCTTAAAAGCATGTGGGTTTGGATGATAAGGTATACTATTTACCTTTACCCTCTTTCACTCCTATCTGCCAAAATCTTCTCATTCATGAGCTACCTGCATATAAAGCCTCTTCTGATCCTTTTGACTGGCTATGATCTATCCCTTTCCAAAATCCCATCGACTTTCTTCTTTCCTCTCTTAGGCTCCCAGTTAGAGTTATTTATAGACCTCTTTTATTTCTTCTTATGTTTTTAAGCACAGAGACTGTGCTATATTAGATGCCACCAAAGTGCCAAGAACAATGCCTTGCTCAGAAGTAAATAATAACTATGGGTTGAATAATAAATAACTGACCAACTAAAAGTTCAAAGGGAAGATGTATCATCAGTGTAAGGATTTTGAGACCCATGAGTTTGAGCAGAAAGTCAGCATTCTCTGCCATCTCCTTTCTTCATCAAAATTTTACACAATGATCAATTTTTCTCCCAAATTGTTAAGTGGAGGCATTATGTAAGAGTTTACAAACTACAAAGAACAAAAGTATTTATTTAGCTAGTTGATTCACAACAGTGTTTTCTAAGATGTGTTCCTTGGAACACTAGTTGAGCATGATATTAGTGGAGTATTTATTAAAACAAGATTATCTGGCCAGTTGACTTAGAGCTCAACAGAGTTTTTAGTGTATATGTGTTTTAATAGTGGGACTCTCAGAACTTTTAATAAACAAATGTGCATGGCAAATCTCTAAAGAGGGGCTATGATATCTATCATTTTCCAAATTTAATTGATCATGGATGCCTCTTCTGAATCTTCCCACTCCCTTTTTCTGTGGAGCCTATCTTACGACAACTAGGGAAATAGTAATTTAGAAAGTAGATTTACAGTTAGTTATAAGAGTATTTTCAATATATTTGTTTTCCAAGGTAGTTCTGACCATGAGTTGGTAATGGATCTTAAAATCTTCTTAAGCCATTTTCTTCAATGTTGGTTTCTTTTTGTTTGTTTGTTTCAATGGTTTATTTTTTGAGACAGGTCTTGCTCTGTCACCCAGGTGGGCATGCAGTGGCACAAACATGGCTCACTGTATCCTTGACCTTCTGGGCTCAAGTTATCCTTACACCTTAGCCTCCCAACTAGCTGTGACAACAGGCACACACCACCATGCCTGGATAATTTATTTTAAATTTTTTGTAGGGACACAGTCACACCATGTTGCCCAGGCTGGTCTTGAACTCCCGGGCTCAACTGATACTCCAGCCTCAGCCTCTTAAAGTGCTGGGATTACAGGTGTGAGCCACTGTGCCTGGCCCAGTTTCTTAGTTGAAGCTTCTTGATAAGCATGAGCGGATGGTACTTCATTCATGCCTTTGACACATAAAGCCTGGAAGACTGAACTCAGCCTGAACTCCAGGGCCCCAAGCTGGATGATTCAGCCTCCATCCTCTGCTTTTTATTACCACTGTTGCCCAGAGCTTCATAACCTCATGCTGAATTATTTTGCTTTCAACCTCTCTTCCTCCTCTCGCCCATCCTACATATGCTCCCACAGCCAGCCTCCCCAAACCACACCTTGGTCAATAAACCTCACTGGTCTTCCTCCTATAGAGTCATTGCCAGCTTATTTACCTGGACGTCTGGGTGCTGCAGAACCGCATGGAGTACTGATATATTTAATTCCATTAAGCACATTAAGAATAATATCTGTAGGAGGAGAATTTTCTATTGCATGTAATATACAAATCACAGACATGAGCACATCTCTCTTAAGAACATATTGTCAAACTAAGCACAGCTGGCTGCTTCCAAATTTTTTTTTTCCTGGAAATTTCCTGCCTCTTGAATTTTCATTTTAGTTAATGTGTTAAATTTTTAAAGAAAATGTTATGGCTGAAAACTTTTAATTGAGACAACTCCATCAACTTAATTTATTTGTTTTTCTATAAATTGGGAAAGTATCACTACTGTTTGATTTTCACAAGATGATACAAGCTAACTCACGATTTGTGACAATACCACAGAGCCAAGTCCAAACTAGTAGGCTGTTCCTATCATATTCTTTTAAAACACACCCTTCCACTACTCTGCCCTACCTGGGCCTTGCTACTCAATACCTTGCTACTCAGTACCTTGCTACTCAGGGTGTGGTCACAGACGAGTAGCATCAATATCGCATAAACAGCTGACTCAAAATGCTGATTCTCAGGCCCTGCTCCAAACCTAAGGAACAAGAATCTGCATTTGAATAAGATCCCCGGATGATGTGTTTGCACACTAAGTCTTAAGGGCACTGGCGAGAGGCAAGCAACTCAAATCTCAGTTTTCCAATTTGTAAAGAAGAATCTCTTTCTCATAGAACTGTTGTATGGATTAAGTAAAACAATGTCCTCTGGTAACTGTGAAGCATTTTGTTGATTGGAGCTATATCATGCTGGTTCACTCACTGTCCCTGCAAACCCATGCACCTTTACCCATCTGAACCTTCCGGCTGCCTGGAACATTTCCTTCCTTTCCCTCTAAGTATTTGAATTACACCTGTCTGTCTTGGGCTGAATTGTGTCCCCACAAGAGATTCATATGTTAAAGTACCAACCTGCAGTACCAGAGTGTGAGTGTATTTGGAGACAGGATCACTAAAGAGATAATTAAGGTTAAATGAGGTCATTATGGTGAGCCCTAATCCACTACGACTGTGTCCCTATAAGAAGAGGAGATGAGAACACAGACCCAGAGGGATGACCACGTGAGGACACAGAGAGAAGATGCCATCTCCAAGCAAAGGAGAGAGACCTCAGGAAACACCAACCCTGCCCATACCTGGCTCTCAGACTTCTGAACTCCAAAACTGTGAAGTGATACATTTCCTGCAGTTAACCCCCTCTCCCCCTGACCCTGTCTGGGGTACAGTAGTCCCCCTTATCTGCCATTTCACTTTCCTTGGTGGTCAACCATGGTCCAGAAATATTAAATGGAAACTTCCAGATATAAATAATATCTGAGTCTTAAATTGCACACTGTTCTGTGTAGCATGTCACAATCTGCCACCGTTCCTCTCCTGCCTGGGATGTCAATTTCCCTTTGTCCTCGGTCTCCATGCCATTGATGCTACCCTCTTGTTAGTCACTTGGGAGCCATCTAGGTGATTAGATAAAAAAACAGCACATATAAGATTCGATATTATCATTGGTTTTGACATCCACTGGGGGTCTTGGAATGCATCTCCCTGGCATAGAGGGGTACTGCTGACTTTTATTAGGGCAGCCCTAGCAAACTGCCACATTCTATTCCCTTGTTCCAGCTCAAATGCTCCATTCTCCACCCTCCTGGATCCCCCTGCCCAGTGCTGCATGACTGCAGTGGGTGGGTTTTTACTGAAATTGACACACATACATTGCCATACATCTTCAAATATGTATTATTATTCTGGAGGCTGGGAAAATTCTATTCAATGCCTACCCTATCTGCCTGTGAATATCAGTGAATCAATATATACTTGTTGATTGATTGGTTTAAAGAAGAGTACAACTCAGGACTTCATATTCCCAGTCAAGGCTGCCAGCTAGTGTATGAAGATACTTCTGCCTCTAGATAAGCAAAGCAGATTTTGCATTCAGCCTGCATTGAACATATATTGGCACTGGTCTCATGATATATTACAGATGTTCTGCATATAAGTTTAATTTGCAGTATCCCAAACTGTGGGAATAAATGAATTGTAATACCTTGCCTTTGAATTTGCTTTGAAAATTTTTAACTCCTTATCTTATTTGACCTCCCAGCTCTACTCCAATGTGAAATAAGAAAATATGTTATTGTTCCTACATGAAAGAGAAAACCTGAGGTTCAGAAAGGTCAAGAGGCTGACATGGTGACTATAGTTAGTAACAATGGATTGCTCTCTTAGAAATTGCTAAGAGAGTAGATTTAAATGTTCTGACCACAGAAAATGCTAAGTATGTGAAGTAATGCATTTGTGAATTAGCTCGACTTAGCCATTCCACAATGTATACATACATATTTCAAAATGTCATGTTGTATATGACAAATATATGCAATTTTAATTTGTCAATTAAAAAACCAGAAAGGTCAAGAGGCTTAGCCAAGGACACTAGCTAGCTAGTAGAGTCTTACATGGCAAATAGGAGGCTCCTGGAGCTCGGATAGTAAACCAGACCTGCGATGATGTCGTCAATGAGTGGTCTTCATAGAAGAGAGAAGAAAAGGCCCTTCTCCACCCCTGTAAAAAAAGGAAAACCCAGAGCTTGCATATGAACAAGCCAGAAACCTTATTTTTCAGTTCTCTATACAGCAAATTCTTAGATTTAAAACCCAAAATTGAAAGCAATCTCCATAGAATTTCTCTGGGGAGAAATGACCTACTTCAGCTTATATTCCTCCCTGTAGTTGCTCTGAGCCTTGGGAATTACCTTGTCCATGTATTTTCATTCAGAATGAATGCTTTAATATATTTCTTTAATCATCTGTTGCATCAGAGAATATTGTTTCATGCATATTAAAGACTTGAGCATGTAATAGAACAGTGTTCTGACTAATAAATGCGCTCAAAGCATGTCACTAGTCTTATTGCTTTTCTTAGCTTCAGGATAGATGTGTTTTATTTGGAAAATAATGATGATGATGATGATAGTGCTTCTGCTAAACAAAGGGAATTATTTTATTTTAAAATGGTGTCATGACCCTGTACAGGTCATTATTCTTTTGAAGGAGTCAACCTTTTGCCTTATTTCCAAAGTGTTTTATTCCCCATTCAGGCAAATTAATCAGTGAGTATTAGGAACTTTCTACATGCCTGGCATAAGACTGTGCAGAAGTACAAAGATGCGCTTTCTATCTAGAAAATCTTCCAGTCTGATTTGGCTATAAACGACCTTCAGAAAATACATAAAGGTACAACTCACTTGCTCTAGGAAAAGAGAGAAGGGAAAGGGGTTTATAGAGAGATAAAGATTGAATGAGATTTTTATTAAAAAGAAAGATTGGGATGCTTTGACAAAAGGATTTCAGGCAAGAAGGAAAAATATAAATGAAGGCACATTATTGGTATGAGTTCCATAAACATGCACCGTTCCACTCATCTTCATCACTTAGATAAAAGACACAGTCCCTGTTCTAGAGTTAAAGGTCACACATACAGTGCAACAAATACCATACTAGAGCTAAACATGGCGTGCTAATTGATCTCAGAGGAAGGCTGTATGACACAGTGGAGGAAAAATAAGAGGACAACAAAAAGCGTATGCACCTAAGAGGAATCTTAAAACAAGAAGAGATTAGCCAGAGCAAGTAGGAGGGAAGGCCATTCTGTGCAGAGGGAATCATTTGGTGAGGGTGTGGAGGAAAGAGAAGAGACACACTTCTCCAGTGCCTCGGTTTGGCTGGAGGGAGGTTTGTGTGCCAGGGGACAGTGAGTGATGAGGTTGGAGACACAGGCAGGGGTGAGGCTGGGGAGAAGTTGGCAAATCATACTAAGGAATTCTGATTTTACTCTGAAAGCAACATGGAACGAATATCACACTCAAAGAACAGCAAGAAGGAAGAGGGTCCGGTAGGAGCACAAGCTTCCGTGGAGGAAAATAAAAGGGGTGGAGGGTGAGGGGAGGTAAGAGAAGGCTTTACTTGTCTTTCATGAGAAGTTTGGATTTGACCGGAGAGGTAATGAGACGTCAGTGTAGGTTTGTGTTCTTGTTCTGGTTTTGTGTGTGTGTGTGAGAGAGAGACTCATGTTGGCATGAGTCTCACATACATGATGATATGCAGTCAAAATAATCACACCAGATTGTATGAATGGGGGCAAAGTCATACTCTCTGATTTAGCAAACATCAGTAAATGACGACAGGCAGAAAATTAAGGTTATGCCCTTAATGAGCTCAGTGAATGACAATCTTTCTCAAATAATGGGTTTTGTCCCAATTTATGATGTGTTTAAATTCCTTATATAAAATAACTTGTACTAAAGTAAATCTGAACATTGTAACTGGTATTTTAAAAAGTTTTTTAAGTCTCTACTTACAGATTAAAAAATCTTAGAGAGTTGCTTTAAACTGGCACTATAACTGCGAAAAGTCCATGAACATTGTCTTCCTTTCTGGATTTCAATCAATCAAGAATATTTGGATGGTTTTTAACAATAAGGTAATAGAAAATGGAAATGTACAAGAGAGACTAGGAATGGAATATTTCATTGTGACCCTACAGCATGATTCTGAAAATAAATTCAGACCATCTTGCCATTCAGTTTACCAGCCTGCCTTAAAGCTTTTCTATACAAATGCCTTGGGGATGGATAATGTAACTAGTGGCAAATTTCTTTATTACTTCAGGATTTACTGGTGAAAATGAAATATACTGTTTTAGAGATTTTATACATTACAGGAATAAGCACATAAATTTTGTCAATATGGATCTTCTTACAACATAGGAGTGGGGTCTGAATATGATGAATATGATGAAAGATGAGACATTAGAATCTAACAGGCTTATGAAACAGAAAACTTATTTTCAGGGTATCTTAATGATTAAGGTAAAATGAAAAATAATCTAAACTGCCTAAAAAGTGTATATAATGTAAAATTTATAGAACTTTTTAAAAACATAGTACTTAAGAATTTAGAAAAAGCATGGCTGGGCGCGGTGGCTCACACCTGTAATCCCAGCACTTTGGGAGGCTGAGGCAGGTGGATAGCTTGAGGCCAGGAGTTCGAAACCAATCTGGCCAACATCGTGTAACCCTGTCTCCACTAAAAATACAAAAACCGGCGTGGTGATGCATGCCTGTAATCTCAGCTACTCAGGAGGCTGAGGCATGAGAATCACTGGAACTCAGGAAGTAGTGGAGGTTGCAGTGAGCCGAGATCACACCACTGCACTCCAGCCTTGGTGACAGAGCAAGACTCGGTCACAGAAGAAAAGAATTTAGAAAAAGCAGTTGAGATGTCACAATATTTGATGAAATCTCCAAAGAAATGGTTGGAAAAAATAATACAAAAGGTGGAGGCATAGGAAAGTGTTAGTAAATGGTATTTCTGAAATAAATACAAGAGGTAAACATAAACATGTTCAATTTGTTCTAGGTTGTTAGAAAAATCTGGCAATAAGTGTTATGGTGGAAGGAAGCACATGCAAATATAGATATTACACTCTAATAATGTTTAAAAATGCTGATACTGGAGAACAATGATAAACTTTAAAAGATACATAATATCAGTTCTGGAGATACGTTTGTTATCTCTCTCATTAGAGGCGCCTTGCATGTGAGTTTAGAAAACATTTTTACAATACACTGCACAGTCCTGCTCATTGTATCAGTCTGCTGGGGTTGCCATAATGGAATACTGTGGTGGCTAAAGCCTGAGTGGCTAAACCAAAAGACATTTATTTTTTCACAGTTCTGGAGGATGGAAGTCCAAGATCAAGGTGCCAGGGTTTGTTTCTGGGAGCGCTCTCTTCCTGGGATACCTTCTTGTTGGATCTTCACATGGGCTTTCCTCTGTGTGCATGTGGGGAGGGAGAAAGCTCTCTGATGTCTCTTTCTCTTCTTACAAGGACACCAATCCTATCAAATTAAGTCCACGTCCTTATGACCTCATTTAACCTTTATCACCTTCTCCCAGACCCCACCTATCTCTAGGTAGTAGGAGTTAAGGCTTCAGCATATAAATTTTGCCGGTGAGGTATGGGGGGAACCATTCAGTTCATTCACTCATCAATGTCAACTCTTTTATTAAAAGTCTAAGACATTTTCTTCTGCTGCTGTATTTAAGCCTAAATATTTTTAGTCACATAAATCCTTACACCAGGTATCACTTGTAAACCCCAGGTGCATTTATAAAACTATCAGCAACACAGAAATAGTCTTTGGAGATAAAGTAGCATTCTAATAAAGCAGTGGATATGAAATCTAAGCTGGGTCTCCCAGACAGAGAAGTGTAGTAAAGGAGAGAGATACAGCTAGACAGATGTGGGAATCAGAAGCAAGGCGAGAGCTGAGGAAACCCTGTTCAGACTTGTTTCTTCAGGAAGAACAACAGACTTGGCATTGAAAAGCTCACTTTTGTTATTTTTTCTGTCTAGAGCTTTTAAGTGGGAAAATGTGTTTCACAGAAGGCAGCTCAGCTGAGAATCAGAAATCCCAGGCCAGTCCTGCCAATAACTCAGAGTGAGACCTAGACAGTTTGCATAATCTCCAGAGCCCTCAATTTCCTCTTCTATAAAGTGAGGTATAGATCACTATAAGACTGCATTTTAACAGTCTGATTTCTATGACTCTAGGACTTACTTCTGAAGAATGTATACACTGGTTCCAATGTTTCTAGAACACTTCTGTATAGCACATGAAAACCTTCCCCTCCGCAATGCCGGTAGCTCTGTAATGCCAACGCTTATGCACAAATTTATTAAACTCTCAAGTACAATCTGGAAACCACTACAATCTGAGAAGTAGTGAAGAAGAAAAACGTAGTATAAAATCCAAGTAAGTGGCCTTATTTCCATGGTGCCATTATGTAGTTAGCTTGTTTATTTAGAAGTAGTTTAGTTTTAATTACCCCAATACTGTTTCTGTAATGCTCATGTTAAAAAGGATAGACTAAATTCAAGCTTTATGCGTTCAGGATAGAATGTTTCCTTTACCAGCATTAGAGTTTTATTTAGCAAATGCTGTTTTTAGTTTATTAGACAATTCAAAATATGTCCACTTACATGGGACATGCCATATTGTTGTCACAGACAGACTTCATATCACTATATGGCTATCATTCATACTTTAGAGGAGAGATTCCAAATATGGCATCCATTTATGGCAGGTGTTAATCAAATTGCATGCCTTAGTGAATCTTTCTCAGAGAATCCTTTTCTTTCTCTGAAGATCATTTACCATAGCCCTCATCAGTCAATATTATCAATGGGTGGTTCCTTAATACGAGTAAGACCAATTCTCCTATTCTGAGCTTCTTGGTGAGTTGGACATCTGTGTGACTTCTGGGGTCATGTAGACTTAAAAGCTGGAGTCTCATTTTGGGACATTCTTGATTGAAAGGGAGCAGAGAAAGCTGCTCTGCAGGAAAGAAAACAAGAGGGAAGCAAGAAGCACTCATAGGAACAGAAGGAACACAGGATCTTCCTGGAATCCTGATTGCTGTCTTTGTCTTTCTTCTGGTCCCCTGGGAGGCCAATCTGCAATCACTGCTCTTAGATTCTTCTAAGAGCTACTGCAATGCCCTGGTAATAAATTCGCCTCCCACCTCGCTCACCCCCCACCAGCACCCACCAAAACTACTTGAAGGTGACTTTGTAGCACTTGTACTCAACAATCCCTTTATCACCATTCTTCATCTTGGCAGACCACCCTAGAATTTAACCAAATTTTTATTACATTTTTTTTTCCAGCCAGTGTCTTTTTATTTGTCCCTCCCCAAAGCAATACTATATAGTATGCTCATTATTATGATAATCTGGCCAAGTGTGGCCATAGACTGAATTTTAGTGAGCTTCTAACCCCAGTTAGTAATGTGGCACAATTTCCAACAAATATGTGCCACTGGCTAAAAAGGAGGGGCTGAGTTTTAGAACACATATATCACTACAAATCTATCACCAGAAATCCAACTGGAAATGCCTAATGAATATAGGTTGTAGTGTCAGTACAAGAAATGAATTATGTTACTTGCCATATCTGCCTTATTTATTAAATAATTGATTCCCACAAATGCTTAACAGCGATTCCCAAACCTCAACAAAGACAGAACTACTGAAGGAAGCTTTTTAAATATAAATTCCTAGGCCTATCCCAGGAACTATGAAATAAGAACCTGTGGGAGGTGGGGTCTGGGAATCTATTTATTTGTACATTTATGATTCTCCAGGCCATTTTGAAGATCAATCATGTTGAAAGACCACTGTTCTAGTATATATAATGTCCAGGAGGAAACTTGTAACTGAAATTCAAACTCCAATCAATATAGAAAAATCAATTGTATTTCTACATACCAGCAATGAACAATCGGAAATTAAAATTTCAAAAAGTACAATCTATAATAGCCTTCAAAACATGAAATCTAACAACATGTGCAAGATATATATGCTGGAATATTGTTGAATCTGTATATTCAACAATATATTGATGAAAGAAATCAAAGACCTAAATAAATGAATATTTATACAATATTCAGGGATTGGCAAATTTAATATAAAGATGTCAATTCTCATTAATCTATAATCTTATATAGAGAGATCTATAATTTCAACTCCATCCCAAGCAAAATCTCAGAAGCAATTTTTAAAAAGAAATTGACAAGCTGATTCTAAATTGTACAAGACAAAGGAACTAGAGTAGCCTAAACAATCTTGAAAAAGCAGAAAAGGGAAGGACTCACATTACCTGATTTTAAGACTTATTATAAAGCTACAATAACCAGACAGTGCAGTGATGGCAAAATGACAGACACAGAGATGAATGAAACAGAGTAGAGAGTTCAGAAGTAGACCCATGCATGAAGAGTCAGTTGATTTTTACAAAAATGCAGGGACAATTTAGTGAGAAAGGAATGTTTTTGAAACAAATGATGCTGGAACAATTGAATATCCATATGCAAAATAATGAACTTTGACCCATACTTCACATTATATGGAAACATTAACTCAAAAAGTATAATAGACCTAAATGTAAAAGTTAAATAATTTCTAAATTATTTGATGATTAGATTTGTCTTCTAAAAAACAATTCTAGAAGAAAACATAGAAGAAAAATGTCATGGTCTTGGGTAAAAATATTTCTTGGAGATGATAAAAATCATGATCTACAAAAGAAAAACATGATAAACTAGACTACATCAAAATTAAAATTAAAAGCTTCTGCTTTTTGAAGAACATGCTTATGAAAAATGAAAAGCCATACACTGGGAGAAAATATTTGGAAAACATTTGTAAAAATATTTGCAAAATATGTATCTGATTAAAAAAAACTTGCATGCAGAATATATCAAGAATGCCTAAAAATCAATAATGAGGAAATAACTCAGTTAACAAAGAGGTAAGGATTTGAACAAAGACTTTACCAAAAAAGATATACAGATGGACAATAAACACATGAAAAATACTCAACATCATATTTATTAGGGAAATGCATATGAAAACAACGAGATGATGCCATTGTATACCTATCAGAATGGCTAAGATATAAAAACTTTCTAATATCAAGTGTTGGTAAGGGTGCTGAGCAACTGGAACCCTCACATGGTTGAAGGGAATGCCACTCAGGAAAACAGTTTGGAAGCTTCTGATAAAGTGAAACACACGACATGAAAATCCCACTCCTAGGTATTTAAGGGAAATGAAACATGTTCACATAAAAACCTATTTATAAATGTTTATAGCAACTTTATTTGTAATCACCAAAATTGGAAACACCCCAAATGTTCATCAACAGGCAAAATGATAAACTGCAATACATTCATACAATGAAATACTACTCAGCAATGAAAAGGGACATGCCACTGATACATGATGTGATATGGATGAATTTCAAATGCCTTATGCTAAATGAAAGAAGCCAGGCTCAAAAGGCCAGACACACTCTTTGATTCTATTTTATAAGACATTCTGGAAAATGCAAAACTACAGAAGCAGAAACCATATCATTGGTTTCCAGGAGCTGATTGGATAGAAAGGTTGATTACAAAGGGACAAGGATCTTACAGTACTCAGTCCTTTGTAGTGATGAGGCTATATGTTATACTGCTGTGTGTGTTTGTCAAAGTCCATAGAATTTTATGTGAAAAACAGTGATTTTACTAAATTATGCCTATATCTCAATAAACCTGTCTAAAAAGAAAAACACAATAAAAAGCAAAGTTCCAGTTTGGTGTGTCAAGGGATATGTACTTTGCTTTCAGGTTGATCCTTTCTAAGAATCAAATTCTTTTTCCCCCTTGCAAATGACTAAGGTAACAAACGGTCTGCCAGTGTCCCCTTATGTGGAAATCTGAGAGGACAGTATGCTGTGTGCCACTCCATTTGCTGTTGTGATGGGCTTTAGACATCTACTATTATTTATTACACAGGTTTAGGATATAATGTGGAGGTCACCTTCCAGCTGCAGTGAGATATTAACAGACTGGGATTGATGGTGGAGAGGAAGACCATTGTTACGTTTCTGCTATATATCAGAAAACCTGTTTATGTTTTGTTTGTATATGTTTCTGTAAACATTCTGTAAACATGTTGAAGTAAACATTCAACAATCCTATAGATAATGATTTTGGGGAAATTTCAATTAAAAAAATCTAGGATCTAACTAAAATGCTAAGTTGCACACCAATTATTATACTTAAAATGGGCATAGTTAAGGGTTTCTCAGCCATTTGCCCTCTGTATACATTTGCAACAGAATCTTCACAAAGAGGGAGGAACGTTTATGATCTCGGGGGCACCTGTGTGCTACCTCTAATCAGGTATTATGCTAAAAGAAAATACTAGCTAATCTCCGGAATGGCATCAAACTTTCCAATATTTGGAAGTATGTGATGAATACAAAAGAGTTGAGGAATACAAATTGAATTATTAAAAAGTTATATTCAACATATTTAATTTCCAGAATTTGCCATCTCCTAATAGGACCTCAGAGACGTTAAATGATTTGTCCCCAACTGGTAAGTGACAGGAATATTTTAAACTCAGGTCTTCTGACTCTAAGGCGAGTGCAGATTATATTGCTTTACTTTTTCTCTGAAAAGTTCACAAATGTATAAGCCATGATGGTGTGGTAAATCACACCAGGAGATGCCAGCAGTATTTCTTCTCTAGACTCTAGTGCTGAGAAGTTGAATACAACAATCTTTAAATTAATTCTTACTTGGCATTCTATTATCATTAGATTGATTTAACTCAGCCACATTTTTAATATTTCAAAGATAGAAGATATATGGCACCCGATTTCATCTTCTGATTTTTTTTAGAATACTCTATAAATGAAGAAGGAAAATACTTAGTAACGTTTTTCACCAGCACATAAAATTCCTTTCTCTTGCCTTCCATGGCACCAGCCTCCTAGCCCTCTCTTTCCACTTGTCTTTAAGCCCCTTTGCTTGCCCATTGGAGGCTGTTTCCCAGAGTTCTGTCCTGAGGTCTCCTTTCTTCCCAGTGTACATGACGCCTCCTCGGTGAGGAGAGCAAAGATCACCTGGTGACCATCAAGCAGGCCACCTGAAGACAAAACTCCTTATCTGAGGAATTTAGAAGTAATTATGAAGCGGCTTCCTTGTCTGGGGTAAATACCCGAGATTCGTTGTCTTATGGCCACGGAAAACTAGGATGTGGGCACACAAAGAGTGCAGTTAGAGCAGAAGTTTAATAGGCGAAAGAAAGAAAAGATCTCTGTGCAGAGAAAAGTCCCAGAGAAAACGGGTTGTGGCTTCCGCAGTGGAATACAGGTTTTACAGAGGAGCTTGAGGGGACAGTGTTTGATTTACATAGGGCACCAAAGATTGGTCAGACCAGGTGTCTCATATGCATAGCACATGAAGAAACTGGCTGCCCCCACCCTAATCTTTTATTATGCAGATGAGCTCTCTACCCGGCTGGCGCCATGTTGCCTGGTTCTTTACTGTACACGTGGTGACGAAGAAAGGGAAGATGGAGCCTCCATGTTGAACATGCCTGGCCCTCAGGTAGCCCTTTTCTATTGGCGCGGCTGCCGGCATTCACCAGTGCAAGTTTCCAGCTTGCTTATCTATGTCTGCAGCTCGATTTTTCAGGCTGCTCTTTGTTGTTAGAAAAGAAATAATTTTGAGGTGCTTTTTGTTAAAAGGGAAATTCCGCCAAGGACTCTGTTGTCCTTACTATCTGCCTAAATAATTTCTTTCTATCTCCTGTATCAATTAGACTTCCCTATTATCTAAAGCTGGCGTCTGGTACAAAGCTTCTTTTGTACCAGATAGAAGTTACTTATAAACTCTAGTTACTTATAAATTTATTTTATTTACTTATAAATTTATAAGTAACTAGAATTTCTGTACATCTCCAGAATACGTGCATGCTGAACGCATTGTGCCAACCTGGCTGGCATTAAGCACAAAAATGTCTACAAATGTAATCATTTATCTAATGATACTAATGGGCTAATATGGTCCAAATTACCTTCAGCTCCGGCTTTAAGGTCCATAAATACCCCTGAGGAAGGATCCACTGTGTTGCACTCAGTCCTCTCTTGCTGAGGTGCTCCGCTGCAGCTGCACTCTTCGACAGCGTTCTTTCTACCTAATAAACCTTTCCTTTTCCAGTCCTATACGGTCAGTGGTAAATTCTTCTTACCAACCCACCAGTCAACCACCTTTTGATGTTGGAGCTCTGACACCTTGCCTGGCTCTGGGTGATTGCTTTCACTCAATTCATCTGTAGACCGATGACTTCATCTCTGGTACAGACCATTCTGACCTGCAGAACCATAGATTCCATTTCTTCTTAGTGGACAGTTCTGTCTGAATGACCACAGAGAACTCAATCTCAACATGCCCCAATTGAATTTAGCTGCCTTCACTATGCTCTGCTCTCTGCCTTTCCCATCTGCCCACTCTCCCCTAAATTTCCAGTGTCATAAATTTAATGACATCATAACTGAGCTGGGAGTCATGCTCAAGTGCTTTCCCTCTTCACATCCGAGTATCCATCTAGGCTTATTGTTCTGCCTGCATTCTCTCTCTCAAAGTCTTCTCCTCTGGATATTCCTTCAATACAACTCTCATCAAGTTTAATCTGCATTATTCTAGTTCATCTCCTCACTAGTCCCCCCAGCTTTGTCCCTGTCTCATTCCTGAGGGATACTGCTGAATCATGTTACTTCCAGCCAAAGGCCTTACAATAGCTTCGTACTCCCAAAGAACCAAATGCAAACTCCAAGGCCCCCCTGCTTCCATCTGCAGCCGAACCCTAATTGAAATCTGTTTCAGCTGCACCAAACTACCTGCAGCTATCTAAACACCCTTTGCTGTTAATCATCTGCAATTATATGCCTAAGCTGCTCACTCCGCCCAACCTTTTAGTGCTGGCTTGTTAGATCTTTGCCTTTAATGTCCTTGTCATTATGGATTTGTGTATCTTTTAATATTTAAAATGATTTTCTTTTATTATTGCCTTTTACTCCCTGAATTTTTCACAATGAACAAGCAAATCATTTTTAAGGGGAACATCTAACATTTATTAAAATACCTAGGTGAACAGGGAATGGCTTTCTCCTTTTTCTACTTTATGATAAAATCCAGATGAATGTAGGAATCGTAAAACTTCAAAAAAGTTATTGTTGTTTTAGGTCTATTCATATGTGCAAGGTTTTCAATTTTACGAATAACTCATACCATTTTGGGGCAAGTTTTGGGGCTGAGGGTTTACACCCATACCTCCACTAAGAGAACCGGGTATTCCTTTCCTGCTGTGTAGGTGTTTTCATCCCTTTCTTTTTAATAAAATAATTAAGGAGTTTTTATTAGTATAGTTAAAGATTTACCGAAAAATTGAGTACAATTCCATATATGCATCCCATTCCCACCACATATATTGTTTCTCTATTATTAACATCTTTCACTAGTGTGGTACATTTGTTACAACTAATGTACCAATATCAATATATTATTAACTATAGTCCATAGTTCACTTTCAGGTTCACTCTTAGTTGTACTTCTATAGGTTTTGACACATGTATAACATCATGTATCTGCTAGTGTAGTATCACACAGAATAGTCTCACCTGTGCTTTGCCTATCCATCCTCCCCTTCCCTTTCCCACCCCACCCAGCCTGTGCCCACCCTCATCTTTTTACTATCTGTATAGTTTTTATTTTTTATTTTTGGAGACAGAGTCTCACTCTGTTACCCAGGCTGGAGTGCAGTGGCACAATCTCAGCCCACTGCAACCTCTGCCTCCTGGGTTCAAGCAGTCCTCCTGCCTCAGCCTCCCAAATAGCTGGGATTACAGGTGTGCACCACCATGCCCAGGTAATTTTTTTTTTTTTTTTGACTTTTAGTGGAGATGGGGTTTCGCCATGTTGGCCAGACTGGACTCGAACTCCTGACCTCAAGTGATCTGACCACCTCAGCCTCCCAAAGTGCCGGGATTATATAGTTTTTCTACACAGACAGTCTGTATAATTTTTCAACACAGGCAGTAATCATTGTATTTTGAGCCAAAGTTTCCATCACCTTTTTAGGCAGACTTCTTTCTATTTGTTTTAAAATGAAGAAAGAATGTCTTCATGAAACATGAGTTATTCTGCATAGTCAAAAGTGTTCACAGATTGAATTTTTAAAGTTGGTAATGCTTTTCTGTTTTTTTTCAAGATCCAGTTTGCATTTTCTACTCCCATTAACCTACAGTGAATACATCATTGGTCAACCAAAGTTACAGGATGAAGAAAGACTCTTGGGAAACACATGTGGGTCCAAACTTAGACTCAGAAATGCCCATGAGGGAAATTGATTTCTCTTGTCCATTACCAAATTGCTACTGTTGACATCAGAGTAAGAAGTTATCATTTTCCTACATATGAGAAGATAAAATAATCTGATACACAATGTAGGCAATTGAAATGGTCAGCATGATGATCTTTTCTATTTTGCCATCAGAAAAAAACCCAGTGGTTTAAATTGCAGACCCCAGCATGGCTTTTTCAGATGGATAACAACTCATTTCTAGAGGCTTTTCCCATTTAAATTTGATAGTACTGACACCAAAGAATGGGGGGCATGCTTATCGTTACTTATTTTGGACTAAACAATCACAATACCCACTTAACAAAGCTGCTAAAAGCTTGGCGCATGATTGTGGGTGTTACCTGTGCCCCAACTCACAGGCAAGAAGCAGTGGCACATTATAATCATTCGACAGGAAAGAATTTCAAGGAGACATAGAAAAATTGAAAGTCCACATGGGATATAATCAAAGTTAAAAGAGAATTTCCTTTTCAACAAATGAAAGCAAGATATTTAGGTCAAACCTCACGTTGACAGGAAACAGAAAGGGCCACTGCCCATGTTAGAAGCAGACTGGACTGCACGACCCAAAGGAGTCCCTGTGGTCAGGTTAATGGCTTCACAAAAAGTATTACTTTTAGAGTACTTTATGGTTTTCTAAGTGCCTTTCTT
This sequence comes from Homo sapiens, assembly GCF_000001405.40. Lineage (NCBI taxonomy): Eukaryota > Metazoa > Chordata > Mammalia > Primates > Hominidae > Homo > Homo sapiens. The sequence continues at coordinate 8,391,757 of NC_000006.12, forward strand.
CATATCTATCTTGATACAAATTGTCCTTATCAGATGTTATTAATATAGCAGTGTTTTAATATGCTGAAATTCTGCTACAGAGAGCAACAGATTAGAGTGCAACAGGTTAGAAATGATCCTGTAGTGAAAATATAATGGTTTTCCTCTTCATCTTTGCTTTAGTGAAATGCTTGAAGGCCTACTCTCTCTCTGAGCTGAAAGTATGATTTGTTATTCCAAAACTATTTTAGTCTCAGCAGAGATGGAGTTTGCACATGCATTTTTGATAACTAAGGCTGACTCCCATTAGGGTGGAAAATAAAGCCTATAATTCATAATAAGAGATTGCTGCCTTTGAAATCACTTCCTACCATAATACTGGCCACTTCATTACAGTGGTAATTAGAAAGAAAAAAACCAGAAGTGGCCATTTGAAGGGGAAATTAGTGCTTAATTTCCAAGACTGTTTTATTTTAATGGATGCAACTCTGGCAAGATTTTATACTTCAATTGCAAACCCAAGAATGATAAGGCTGGTGTTTCAGATCTGTCTTCTAAATGGAAAACACTTCATGCAGCATGTGATGAAAGAGCATCTAATGACTGAATATATCCCTTAAAGTCAGATATACTGTCTTTAAAGGAGGGTTTAAAAAATAAGTATGTATGTGAAGGTGGGCATGTGTGGGTGTAAGTTACATCCATTTAATCAGCTGCTACTGTCATTAACCAAGTACACAACTTGAGCGTGTTAAAATTACTCCAATTAAAAGAAAGTGCTGTTAAAAGAAAATCTCATATTTTATTAAAAATGTCTGATGCGGCCCAAAAGGAAGGAATGGATCTTTTCCTGGAAGAGGAAAACAAGATTTAAGACAAAGAAATACGCATAGGTTGATCTAAGAGTCTCCATTTTTAGAGAGCTGCTGAGGTCTTCTAAAGAATGTTTCTTTTCTTCCCCCAGCCCACTTCCTCTTTTAGAAGACTCTTTTATTGTGGAATGTAATACAGAAAACTCCACCCATTCAAAACACACAGTTCAGTTATATTTCTCAAAGGGCACACCAGTGTAAACATGACACAGGCCAATAAAACATTGCCCCACCACACAAGCCTCCTCAGGCCAGCCCTCTCCAGCCCTAATCTCTCCTTTCTCCCAAAATACAATTGTCTTTTACGTTATCACTTCTTTGCTTTTCTTGATAATTTTACCATCAAAACATGGATCCCTAACCATTGTAGTTTTGCTTTGCCTTTGTTTTTTTTTGTAACTTTACGTAAACAGAATCATATAGTTTATACTCTTTTGTATTTATGCTTTTTCATGTGACATTATGTATGTCAAATTATTGTTGCCATGAGTAGTGGTAAGTCTTTCCTATTCACTCAATTATATGTGTATAGCACAATTTTTTTTAACCCATTGGACTGTAGGTGACTACTGTATTTGGGTGACTCAGTTTCTGCTTTTCTGAATGATGCTGCTATGAATATTTTTGTATGTGTCTTTTGATATACACATGCCTACATTTCTGTTGTATGTGCTTGTGAGTGGAATTTCTGCATCACTGGATGTACATTCAAATTTTTCAGATAAT